>NC_000006.12:96585941-96737456 GCF_000001405.40 Homo sapiens
GCATATTGTAAACATATTCTTGCCTTGCACAGTTCCATGGTAGCTGAGTATTGAGAACGGGAAGAGAAACGAGAGGGGAGAGGGAAGAAAGGAAAAAAAAGAAATAACTTCATTGTCTTCCTCTTCCCTCTGTTGCATCTACAATGGTCTTCCTCACAATTCACTCATCTGCTCAATTCACAAGCATCCCAGCTCTTCGTGAGCACAACTTCCATGACCACTATGAGCACACAAAGCCCTTTCTTGTTTTATTAAAAATAATCCAAATGGATGTAGAAATATAAAGGCTGGTTTAATACATACTATTACTTATTCATGATCCACTTGTTTTTTAAAAAACATTGAATCTGTGAGAGGACTTCAAATAGTTCATGGAAAATACACATTATTTAAAAACTAAGCATGTGTTTAAAAATTTTTTACACTGAAATAAACTCATACTAATTTGTTATAACATGTCTGAAAAGGATCTAGTTTGAGGCAACAAGAAGGATAAGACATCAGTTTGAGGAGTCTCTATCAGAGCAACATAAATTCTTCTAAAATTGAAGCATGAGCAAACATCAAATTTACAGTGAAGCTTGGGAGGAAGAAAGGTGAACTAATTTATACTTTATGTAAAGATAATAGGGACAATGCCCCAAAGAAATTAGCAGTTTACAAATGGATAACTTGTCTCAAGAAGGGATGAGATGATGTTAAAATGAAGCCTGCAGCAGCAAACCATTCACATAAATTTGCAAGGAAAAAATTAATCCTTTGTGCCCTAATTGGAGAGGACTGACAATTGACAGCAGAAACAATAGCCAACACCATAGACATCTCAATTGGTTCAGCTTACACAATTCTGACTAAAAAAAAATAAGATGAGCAAACTTAACACTTGTGTGCCAAAACGATTGCACAGATCAGCTGCAGACAAGAGTAGAGCTTTCAATGGAAATTTTAGACAAGTGAGATCAAGATCTTGAAGCATTTATTTGAAGAACTGTGATAAGAGATGAAACACGGCTTTGCCAGTCCGATCCTGAAGACAAAGCACAATCAAAGGAATGGCCTCCAAGAGACGGAAGTGGTCCAGTCAAAGCCAAAGGAGAACATTCAAGAGCAAAGGTCATGGCAACAGCTTTTTGGGATGCTCAGGGCATTTTGCTTGTTGACTTTCTGGAGGGCCAAAGAACAATAACATCTGTTTATTATCAGAGTGTTTGGAGAAAGTTAGCCAAAGCTTTAGCTGAAAAACGCACAAGAAATCTTCACCAGAGAGTTCTTCACAATGCCCCTGCTCATTTCTCTCATCAAACAAGAGCAATTTTGTGAGAATTTCTATGGAAAATTATTAGGCAACCATTTTATGGTCCCGACTTGGTTCCTTCTGACTTCCTTTTGTTTCCTAATCTTAAAAAAGTCCTTAAAGGGCACCTATTTTTCTTCAGTTACTTATGTAAAAAGACTACATTTACATGGTTAAATTCCCAGGATCCTCAGTTCTTTAGGAATGGATTATATGGCTGATATCATCACTTACAAAAGTGTCAAACTTGATGGAGCTTATGTTGAGAAATAAATTTATATTTTTAATTTTTATCTCTTAATTCCACTTCTATTAACTTTTTGAAGTCTCCTTATATAGAAAAGAGTATTCATAACATATACACAAACTGTAAGAAATAACAAATTGGCTTAACAAAGAAAACATCCCCTTTATATTTGAAACCCGTTGTGCAACATCCCAATTTATTTTAATAACTATGAAAATTAGATAATCTTATATTGCATCCTGAATTTTTTGTTAATCATCACTATGCTTTTTAAAAATAAAAGCACATATTCATAATTCCTAATAATAAACTTTGGCTGTTCTAAACTTTATATAAATGTCATTCTGGTATATTTACTCTCTACAACTTGCTTGTTTACTCAATATTGTAAAGTTCTTCTGCATTAAGGAGGGTACCTGTAAGTCATCTGTTTTTGTGGCCATATGACAATATGTTGTGTGACCACACATCTACTTATTTATCCATTTTTCCCTTGATGGACATTCAGACTTTTTTGCTATGGCTAGTATAAACTCCGTGGCTGTGAGCATTGTTCCACATCATCGCTGAAAGTTTCTCTCAAATTTACACACTTAGGGGTGAAATTGTTGAGTCACATGAAAGGTATATGTTCAATTTTACAATGTAATGAAAAATTGTTTTTCAAAGTGATTTTATCCATTCATTTTTGCATACTTATTTTCAACACGTAAGAGTTCCTGTTATTTCTTTCTTTCTTTTTTTTTGAGACGAAGTCTCACTCTATTGCCCAGGCTGGAGTGCAATGGCACAATCTCGGCTCACTGCAACCTCCACCTCCCAGGTTCAAGCAATTCTCCTGCCTCAGCCTCCCAACTGGCTGGGATTACAGGCATGCACCACCATGCCTGGCTAATTTTGTATTTTCAGTAGAGACGGGGTTTCACCATGTTGGTCAGGCTGGTCCTGACCTCAGGTGATCCACCTGCCTCAACCTCCCAAGTGCTGGGATTACAGGCATCAGCCACTGCGCCTGGCCTCCTGTTATTTCTTTGTCCTCACCAACATTTGATATTGTCAGCATTCTTTTCATATTTTGTGAGTATAAATGCAGTTCATTTTGGTTTGTTGAACAGATCTATTTAAATTTCACTGATTAAGAGTAGGTTGTGCTTTCTTTAAAATAAATATTTTCCAGTTACAAAAGAAAATATTTGCTTATTATGAGTGAATTAAAAACAAGCTAATGGAAAAACAGTCTCCATTAGCTTGTTTTTAATTCACTTATTGATTCACAGGAATGTTTTATATATTTTGTTTTCTAACTCTCTTTCAGTTACTTGTGTGGCAAATATCATCTGTTATATTGTGGCTTGTCTTTTCATTCTTTAAATAGTGTCTCTTAATGAGCAATTCTTTTAAAAAAAAAGTAACAACCTTTTCATTTACAGTTTGTGTTTTTCATATTTTTTAAAAAAATTTTCCTAACATATGATCATAAGATCATAGAAATTTACTTCCATATTTTAAAGACTTGCCTTTCATATTGATGATGGAATTGTTTTGAGTATGGTATGAAGTATGGATTCAATTTAATTTTTCCCATGTAAATAACCAATTATTTCTGTATCATTTCTTAAATAATTATTTCCCCCTCTAAACTACCATTTTTGACATATCACATTTTCATATATGCATAGATCTGATTTGATTCTCTCTTCTCCTCCATTGGTCTTTGGTTTATCCTGTTTCAATACTACACTGCCTTAATGATGACAAGTTCTTATATTGTTTACAACAAATTCTTCCACTATATTAAAGTTTCAGATACATCTTGTTACATTTAAGACAAGTACAATTTCCATTGCTTTTGAATATTGTATTTTTTTAACATTGTATTTCTGATGTGTAGGAATTTTGCTGATATTTTTATATTGACCTTGTATCAAGGAACTTGCTAAATTATCTTTCAGTGGTTGTTAATGAAGTTGAGAACATTTTCATGTTTATTAGCCAGCTGGTTATCCTCCTCTGTGTATCTGTTCAAGTCTTTTGTACTTTTATTGGGTGGTCCATTTTTTTTCTTATTGATTCGTAGGACTTCTTCACATGTTTTGGATATGACTTCTTTGTTAATTAATGAATTGCAATACATTCTTTGGCTCTCTCTTTACTCTTATTTGTGTTTTTTGAGAAACAGAAGTTCTTAAGTTTAATTTAGTCTAGTGTATTAAATTTTCTCTACATGGCCAGCATATTTTCTGGCTTATTTCTGAAACCTTTCACATTACAAGTTTATAATGACATTCTCTTATATTCTCAAAGGATTATTGCTTTGTCCTAACACTGAGATCTATGGTTCACCTGGAAATAATCTTTATATGTCATGTGAAGTAGTAATCTAGTTTCATTCTTTTTCATATGGAAATAAATACAATTGACCCAACACCATTTACTAAAAAGACCATTCCTATTCTTCGTTATTCCTCACTGTCCTTTAGGTCATGTGTTATATATGTATAGACTTGCTTTTGAGCTCTCTATTCTGTTCTGGTGATCTAAGTATTTAATCCTGTGTTTATACCATACCATCCACTATAGTAGCTTTATAATGTCTTGATATCTGACTTAGCAAGTCTTCCAATCTTGTTCTTGTTCAAAGGTGATTACACTATTCCTGGCCCTCTGCATTTCTTTATAAGTTATGGAATTAGCTTGTAAAAAAATAACCTGATGGAATTTTATTTTGCATCTATAGGGCAAATGAAGGGGAAATAATACCTTCACAATAGTAAGTCTTCAAGTCTAAGAGCATGGTATTTTCCTTCCATGTATTTATTTTGGTTTTCTGTTTATTCTTTCAAAGTCTTATAATTTTCTATGTAGAGAGCTCATACATTCTTATTAGGTTTCTCAGGGAATTTAAATATCATAAATGATTTTTTTTCATTTCACTGTTTGTTATTGTTAAATAGGAATACAATTGATTTTTATATATAGACATTTTACTGAGCAACTCTAATAACTAACTTGTAAATTCTAATCAGGTATTATAGAATTTTTTTGATTTTCTCCACAATTAGAACATCAGCAAATAATGAGTTTGTTTCCTTTTAACTCTTGTACTTTTTTCCCTCACCTTACTGCAAAATCTATGGCTTCCAGTATAAAGCTGAATAGAAGTGGTGATTGTGGGTATTCTTTTCCTATTTATAATCCGAGTAAAAGCTATCAACATTTACCATTAAGTATAGTGTTCGCTATAGGTTTTTTTAAACCACATTGAAGAAGTTTCTTTCATTTTTAGTTTGTTAAGAGTTTTTAATCATAAATTGAAGTAAGATTTTATCAAATGCCTTTTCTGCAGCTGCTGAGGTAATTTTACAGCTTTCACTTTTACTTGGTAAAATTATTGAAACACAGTGATTCTCTTGAATTTTAAACTGAACTTGGCATTCCTAAAATGAAATCAACTTGATCATGATATACTAATCTCTTCATATATCACTGGATTTAGTTGCTTGTTATTTGGGTTTGGGTTTTGTATTTATTGTCAGAAGTATTATGGACCTATAGTTTTCCTTTCTCATAATGATTTTAGATTTTGATACCAAAGTGTTAATGAGTTCAAAATTTACCAGAGCATGTTCTCTGTTTGTACTTACTTGATTTGGTTTGTGTGAGATTGCTGTTATTTCTTCTTTAAAGCTTGGCAAAATTCACTGGTAAAGCCACTTTGGCTTTATTTCCCTCTGTATGTAGCCTTTTTAATTACAAATTCAACTTATCTAATAGTTGTCATAATTTTTTATTTCTTCTTGTGTCAATTTTAATAGTTTTATTTATTTTAGATTTTTCCATTTTACCTAAATTTTCTAATTCTTTGACACAGGGTTGTTGTACATAGTCAGATTTACATAGATTCATCTACATGTTTACGGTTTTCATTTTTTCCCTACTCTTTTCCGCACCTGTGATCTCCAATGTGTACTTTTGCCCAAAGAACACTGTTTGGTATTATTTTAACGTGGGTGGATGATTAATAAATTTAGTTTCTGATGGCCTGAAAATGCTTTTACCTTCATTGTCAAAAGATCTTTTACCTGGGCATAGACTTCTAGGTTGGCTGCTAATTTTTTTCAGCAATTTGAATATATCTCTCCATTGTCTAGCTTCCTTTTTTTTCTGTTGAGAAGTAGGTATCCTCAATTTGTTATTAATCTGAAAGTAATATTTTATTATCAGGGGAAATTCAGCCAGATATCGGGGGGAAATTCACCCCCGATATTTCATGTAGGTGCTTTTCTATTTTCCCTAAGTGTCAGCCAGTTTGAGAAATAAAGGGACAGAGAACAAAAGAGAGAAATTTTAAAGCTGGGCATCTGGGGGACACATCACATGTCGATAGGTTCCGTGATGTCCCCTGAGCTGTAAAACCAGCAAGTTTTTATTAGGGATTTTCAATGGGGAGGGAGTGTACGAATAGGGTGTGGGTCACAGAGATCAGGTACTTCACAAGATAATAGAATATCACAAGGCAAATGGAGGCAGGGCGAGATCACAGGACCATAGGACCGGGGCAAAATTAAAATTGCTAATGAAGTTTCGGGCACCACTGTCATTGATAACATCTTATCAGGAGACAGGGTTTGAGAGCAACCTGTCTGACCAAAATTTATTAGGTGGGAATTTTCTCGTCCTAATAAGCCTGGGAGCACTATGGGAGACTGGGGCTTATTTCATCCCTACAGTCTTGACCATAGAAGATGGCCACACCCAAGGGGGCCATTGTAGAGGCCCACCCTCAGGGGCACATTCTCTTTCTCAGGGATGTTCCTTGCTGAGAAAAAGAATTCAGTGATACTTCTCCCATTTGCTTTTGAAAGAAGAGAAATACGGCTCTGTTCCGCCCAGCTCACTGGCGGTCAGAGTTTAAGGTTATCTCTCTTATTCCCTTGAACATTGCTGTTATCCTGTTCTTATTTCAAGGTGCCCAGATTTCATATTGTTCAAACACACATGCTCTACAATTTGTGCAGTTAATGCAATCATCACAGGGTCCTGAGGCAACATACATCCTCCTCAGCTTACGAGATGACAGGATTAAGAGATTAAAGTGAAAACAGGCATAGGAAATCACAGGGGTATTGACTGGGGAAGTGGTAAGTGTCCAAGAAATCTTCACAATTTATGTTTAGAGATTGCAGTAAAGACAGGCATAAGAAATTATAAAAGTATTAATTTGGGGATCTAATAAATGTCCATGAAATCTTCACAATTTATGTTCTTCCACCATGGCTTCAGCCAGTCCCTCCGTTCAGGGTCCCTGACTTCCCGCAACATTTTATAATCTACTTTTGATATGTTATTTGTCTTTCGTTTTTAGTAGTTGTACCCTGATGTGTCCAAGTGTGTTTTTCAGGTCAGTTGAGGTTCATGTTTTCTTGGTTTTTAAAATTTGGGGCATGTATTTTGTCAGTTTTGGAAGATGGGCCATTGTTTCTTCAAATACAACTTGTATATTTTTCTCTTTTCTCATTCTCATTCTATCATCTATGTTTCTTACTTTCTTAATTGTACTTTTTATACCTTTTATCATCATGCTTAATTTTATTTTCTATTTTATCATCTTTTTCATTTCATACAATCTTTTCTAAAATTTCCCATTATGTCCCTAATTTAAATCATTGTATATTTCTGTACTATAATTTACATTTCATTCTTTTTCATTGTTTTTAATTCTCTGCAAAATTTTTGCTCCTTATTTTATTTACCCCCTTGAACATATTAAGGATAGTTTTATGTTCTGTCTTATAACTCCAAAATCTATGGCTTCCTGCATGTATGTTTCTATTCTTTATATTCCCTTGTCTTCTTCTGAACATGGTCATTTTTGTTTAGTGCTAGACATTGGTGTAGAAGTAATTGAGGCCTAAGATGATGTTTTCTTCCTTCAGACAGGATGTGTATTTATTCTGGTGTTCACCTAGGGATACCAGAATTCCAAGGTTATCTTAATATAATTTTAGAAACTGAGGTAATTCAAAGCTGGGCTTCCATCTCTGAAATACTAGTTTACTTCTAATTTACGTTACTCCAAGGGCATAGCTCTTTGGAAATATCACCTACACAATGATAAGCTTACCAGGCCTGCTACATGGAAGGTCCATTGACCTCAATCTTTGTCCCCTTAGCCTTTCTAGGCTGTCAGAAGTGCCATACAGCTTCTCAGACTATTCATTTTATCTTTTTGGATGTACATATTCTTCTGTGGAAAGCAAATACCAAGCTCATCTACGCTTTTCTCCTTCCTTTGGACTTTGCCTATTCTTCACTGTAATATTAATTCTCTGATGCCTCCAAGCTACACTTTTTAAGTACACTTTTTAAGTACTAGCTTCTCTAGTGGTTCACAGCAGCCTCATGGTTTGAATTATACAGAGTACCATTATTGGACTGGAAGTCTTTCAACAATTTTATTTTGGGGAAAAATTATTTCTATTATCTTCATTTAGTGAATTTTCTCTTTATGCATTAGTTTGTTTCATTTCAAGGTTGCTGATTTTTACTTTTGCTTTTTTCAGTCTGCTGATAATCTTATCCATTGAATTCTCTATTACAAATATTTTTAAACATAAGCCCCCACAGGGACTTTATTATACTTATGTTAAATATTTGGAAGGAAATGAACAGAATGAGTGAATGTATAAATGATTTCAGCAGAAAAATGAAAGAACTGGAAAAGGATCCAATAAATATTAGAATTTATATATATATATATATATATATATATATATATATATATATATATATGTATGTATGTATTTACTTCTTGAGGTGTCTTATAATTTTTTGCCTGCCAAACATTGGAACAAAATACACATGTACAATTTTTGTTTCATTTTGTTTTACCCCCAGAGGATGCACTCCTTTCTTGTCACATGGCTAGGTCAAGGGGCAGAACTTTTAGTTTCTGTCAAGTGTTGTGCTGAGTTACAGTTAACAAAAATATTAAATTAGGCCGACCTCTGGGTTCAAATAGTATTAAAGAAAACTATATTTCCCTTTCATCTAATCTTTGGTTGAAGCTGACAAGAATTTGTTGGGATTTGAACTCAGATTGGTTGCAGATGTTGACAGTTACTTTTGGATCATCTTTGGAATATTTTGGTTTTCAACCAAGAAAGTTTAACCACTCATTTGGTTTGATTTGGGTTTAAAATGTATCATATATCTTCTTCTTTTGTGATGTCTCAGTTTTCTAGTTTTCTTTTTCCTACGTACTTTCTATGAAATAATTTTGTTTTACTTATTTCTATT
Organism: Homo sapiens; assembly: GCF_000001405.40. Classification (NCBI taxonomy): domain Eukaryota; kingdom Metazoa; phylum Chordata; class Mammalia; order Primates; family Hominidae; genus Homo; species Homo sapiens. The sequence continues at coordinate 96,594,782 of NC_000006.12, forward strand.
TCTATGTTTAGAGTTTTCCATTAAAATTTAACAAATCTAATGACTTATTATTAAAATTTTAACATGAGAATGCTTAATCTTAATGTAATTCAGTTAATGTATTCTTTTCCAGCAATACAAGGATTAACAATCAACTCTTTCCTCACTTAAATGCTATTTTCCCCAGTACATTAGTATTATTATGTGTTTTTGAACCCCACAAATTATTATTGTTTTTTCATACAGTCAATGTTTATTTTTGTGTAACTGCATGTTAGTCGAGGTCTTTGCTCCTTATTCTTTCTTTTTGTCTTCAGTTTTCCTAAACCTTCCGTTAGAGAGTTTCCTTTTTTTCTTTCTTTTTTTTCAAACCACATTCTTTAGAATTCCCTTCAGTGAAGGTTTTTTGGTAGTAAACATAGCTTTTGTCAACTTAAATATGTTTTTATGTCATCCTATTCTTTAAATTAAGCTTCACTGAGTATACAGGTCTAGAGTTTACTTATTTTCTCTTAGCATTATTTCAGTTTCTTCTGGTTTCTATTGTTGCTGTTTAGAAGTTATCTGCATATCTAATTGTTGGTGTTTTAGACATTTTTTTTTCTCTTTGAATGTCTTTAAGATCATCTTTGTCTCTGGAATATGACATCTTTACTATGATGTGTTTGTTTTTATGATGCCTGAAATTTGTTTTACTTTCTGCATCTGTATATTAATGTCATTAATTCTTGGAAATTCAATTCTATCTCCAACCTTTGCATATTTCTCATTTTCTCTATTATCTTCTTTTGAAATTCTGTAAAGACTTAGGTCAAATTCTTTTACTCTATCTTCTACTTTCTTTTTAACTGATATATTTTCTATCTCTTTTTCTTTCTTCATTGTATTTTATAGTATATCTTTAGTTCTATTTCCAAGTTTATTAATTTTCCCTTCAACTGATTCTAATCTGCATTTTAATCTGTTTTAATTTTAATGATAAGTTTTTATCTCTTTTATTTCTATCAGTTCTGTTGCAAATCTGCCTAGTCATTTTTATTCTCCTGAATTTTTCTATATAATGCTCTCTGTTATGTCTTTAAATATGTTAAACATTATTTTCCATTTTGTATCTGTTATTTCTCATGTGAAATTGTTTTGTTGGTGATCCAAGTATTTTCTTTGCTGGATTTTTACTTATACTGCTTGTTTTCATTGCTTATTCTTATTTTAAATATTTTAATTGTGAATTCATGCTCAATGAAAATTTATATGTATGATTTTTTTTAGGCCTAGGATGATGGGACATTCTTTCATAGAGGATTTTCTTGTGTTTCATTTTAAACTAAGCCTTTTAAACTAAAACCTAAGAGTTTTAGACCTTACAGTTAGTATAAGTTCAGGCTGTAAATACTTGGATAACAAGGTCATCATGGCTCAGAAGACATCCTCAGGACAAATGGCTCCTTTAGAGAGTGTTAACCTTTCTAGTTTCCTGCTTTCTTTTTAGTTTTAGCCTCTGAGATTTTCCCTTACTTTCTTGCCAGTTCGGCAACACATTTTATTTTGTTCGTTTTTTATTCCTTAGGCGTGTGTTTTTGAACATGCAATTTTCTAAGCTGTCAGCAATGAGCATCTTGTCACTCACATTTTAACTCTGAAATCTGACATCAGACAATTTAGTGTCTCCAAACTATTCTTTTGAAGACATCATTTACCTTCTTGTTGACACTTTCCTTAATTGTTATTAATATATATTCTCTTCTTGTAGTTCTCATTTCTTTTGTCTTTGAAAACACTGTGACCTTCACGATATCTGCTTCATCTCTTTCCCATCACATAACATGCATTTATCCGTGAGTTTGTATTTTATCTTTTTTTTTCACTTTTCTACACTAGGGTTTCTTTGATGGTCTCATTCAGTCTCATAACTTCAGTTACCATTGTAGCTCCTCAACTACCAATTAGCTCATCCAGGAAAATAGTCTAAACTTCTTAATCTAACATGACATTTTGATGCCTAGTATTTTGAACATACAGCTTGATGGCTATCTAGTTTAGTTCCTCAAATTCAATATAACTAAACCTGAGTTAATCTTGTCTTCCAACTAGTTTCTCTTCCTGTACTCCCGTCTTCTATTAGTGGCATACTAATTCTACCAGGAACCGTATATGAAATTTCAGAATGACTCTCTCTCTCTCTCCCAGATGCATTCACTTTTTAAGTCCTACTGCATCTTGCTCCCACACATGATCTCAATACTCTTTTCTAAATCAAGCCATCATTACCTCCAACATGAATACCCCAAATGCTTCCATCCTTTCCTCATTTCCACTTCATACTCACCCTTAAACAAGACTCAGTCTTTGGCTTCTCAGAATTCCAAGACTTCATACATGGTTGTATTCTTCTATCACTTGATCTCACAGTCTCTGCAACTCTCTCTTTATATATATAATATATACCAATATAATTTAATATGTATACATGTGTTTAACATTATACATTATATATAATTACTTGTTCATGTAAATTGATTAATATATTTTATTTTTATGATTTGTTTATTTAATGAATTTTCCCTTAAGGGGAATAGCTCATTGATTCTCTGTATTCCCCTCCAACACAAAAAAAATCACATTTTGTACAGAAGGCATGACATTTGTTGATTAGGCCACATGTTGAAAAATGAGTTTCGAATTGATTTCCTGTTTATGGTATATCTATCTTTAATCCCTTCTATCACTGTTTCTAAATTAATTCTCATAAGTCTCAGCTCAAAACATGGCACTTACCTGTTCTAAGTCATCAATGATTATATTTTTTCTATAGAAAAAAGTTCAAATCTAGCATGAAACTTAAGCCATTGATGACCTTGCCCTAGTCTTCCTTTTCAAATTTATCTTCCAATATTTACCCTCTCATGCTCTGCAAGCCATTTAGAATACAGTACTTACTGTTTTCCATGCAAGTGTCATATACAAGTGTTCACATATACAAGTGTCACTGCCCTTCCCAGTTCTGCTGCTGCATCTAAATGCCCTTCTCCACATCTCAAGGAAAGGGGAGGTTTACACTGGCTAAGATCCTGGGCTTCAGTTTCTAAAAGGTATAGACTTGCACACTAGACCTAGCATTTTTATCAGCCAAGTGATCTTGGCCTCCTAAGTTTTGGTTTGCTCATCCATCAAATGAGCATAATAATAATAGACCTCCTCAGGAAACCATTGCAAAGATTTAAAAAGATCCACATACAGTAGTTGACACAGGACTCAGCCTATATGTTCAGGAAACATAAAGGAGTATTAAATATTATGGTTAGTCTTTCTAAAATTACCCCAAATGTGGTAGAGACTGCCCTTTGCCTGCTTCCACACCCATTCTGCTGGTGACCTAGAGGTCAACTCGCTGCTGCCACCACGAGTACTGCCACAACTGTTTCTCACAGCCAAAACACTAGTTAGGAAAACTGAACCCTGGCATTCTGAATGGATAGAAACCACTCACATCTCAGCCAGCCAATCTGCCACCATCAACAGCAGCAGGAACATGTCTTTCATTTCATATTCACCTGCAGATTTTCACATGTGTTTGTAGCCGAGCCAAATCTGCATCCTGAACACACACTGTAAGAGGATCCAGGAAATGCCTTTAGCTCCTTGATCCCTCCAACTTGAAGAAGGATAAAACCAAGTTTGGGAAGGCCAATCCATAATATCCATTACAAAATTCATTGAGATGCCACTGCTTCAAGTTGTTCCTGAATTTTTCCTAGCTGAAAGTAATTGTCCTTCCTCCTTCTTTAAGGGGGTGGCTTTCAACCCACACTGGACATTAGAACTACTTGAGAACTGAAAAATACTTATTTTTAGTGCACTCCCAAAAAGTCTAATTTATTTGGTTTGAGGCAGGGGTGCACCTTGGATATTTTTTAAATTCTAATGTGTACCCAATGTTTAGAACTACTGCTCTAAAACTTATAACCTTTCATTTATTCTCATCACTTTCTAACTTTTGTTTAGTGATTTATGAAATGTCCTTACTCTTCCTGCTAGATCATAAGCTCTCTGCAGACAGTGTGTCTATTTTTATATCCTTTACAACTTGTAGCAAATTACTTTGCAAATGACATGTATTTTACATGTTTTTCAAACGCATTAATAAATAGATGGTGTGTGATGCCTTGCAAACAATAGTATATTAAAGATACCAGGGATGGCACCTAGTCCTTGCCTCTCTCCCACATGAAATGTTCTCAACTACACTTCTTGTGAGTCTATTCATTCTGCATAGCATAGTAAAAATGTTAAGAATGTTAAGTGGATATATTACTCATAGCATTAGGCTTTTCATCAATAACTCACTATAAAATACAAAAATAGCTATTTAAAAAATAGCACCTAAGAAATAACATTCTCAGCTACAGAAACTATTACCAGTGAACTTACATCTTTTTTTTTTTTTTTTTTTTTGAGATGGAGTCTCACTCTTGTTCCCCAGACTAGAGTGCAATGGTGCGATCTAGGCTCACTGCAACCTTCACCTCCTGGGTTCAAGTGATTCTCCTGCCTCAGCCTCCCTCGTAGCTGAAATTACAGGCATGCACCACCACACCCAGCTAATTTTATATTTTTAGTAGAGCAGGGGTTTCTCCATGTTGGTCAGGCTGCTCTCAAACTCACGACGTCAGGTGATCTGCCCACCTTGGCCTCCCAAAGTGCTGGGATTACGGGCGTGAGCCACAGCACAGCCAAACTTACATCTTTTTAGGGAGAAATCTAAAATTTAAAGGAGCAAACTAGAAAAACAAAGCCAAGTCTATTCACGCCATTGAATTTCTGAACTACTCATCTGTCTTCTACTCATTGTCTTCATTATGTTCTTTGATATATCAGTGCACCTCTAAATAAACCTTCTAAAATCCCAATATGCAAAGATAAAAATTCCGGGCTTAAATGTTGTGTTAGTTGCTGAATAACTTTGAAAGAAGTTTGACAAGAATGTCTAAGTGATATATTGCAAGTGAATGACTAGCACTGCTGAGTTCACACCTAGAAAAGTTGAATGCTAACCAATTGGGGTACATGTTTATATTAATAGTTCTTACAGCTCATAAATAAGAACAGCTTTGCTCAAGAATTTTTAATCTTTGAAAGCAAAAATTTTCCAATATCTTTGAAAATTAGCCCTCAGGTGCGGATTCCTGAGACAAAAATCACATAGTCCTCATCCTCTTTCCTACAGCTCTACCTGTTAGGGAATGGTTAAAACAAGCTATTTGGCTTGCTCTTCTGGACACAGAGTTATTCCCTGAGAATTTTAATCTATTAATGTTAGTGACAAAGAGGAGGAAAAAGTAAAGAATAATGTTTAGAAAATTGTAAGATAGTAAAAAGTGGTCAGATTGGAAAAATTCATACTCTTACCTTCTGCCTGCTCCATCCCAGTTAGAACTACTTGCATTCAAAGTTCAAATCAAAAGCTTGTTACTCAATTCTGTTTTGTAAAAGCAACATCAGGGAGTTGGGTAGGGTGAGAACAGAAAAAGCTTTAAAGTTAAAAAGCTTAAAAGTTTCAAGATCCTTCTTCATCCTTAATGTACCCAGGTGAAAATTTATTCTCACGACTCAACATTTCCCATCTTCAAATGAGCTCCTATGCCATTCTCTCACTTCTCTTTTCCCTTCCTCAATAAACAGTTTGATCTTTCCTTCCTTGTTTCTTTCTTTCCTTGCTTCTTTTCTTCATTCCTTTATTCCAACCTTCCTTCCTTCCTAACAGATTTCCAACAGCTTAACTTCCTTAAGATCTTCCTAGGAAGGTCTCTCCTCACTCTCCTTTCTATTATAATAGTTCTCTAAGAATTCTATATGGTTCTAATAGAGTGTGTATCATTTATATAGTTATAATACCTCTATTTTTAAGAAACACTATTTGGATGTATTCAAAGATCAATAGTTAAATGATAGACTTCATGAAAATGAGGAATGAATTTCTTAGTGTATTTTTTCTAACCAAGAAGAAGAGGATAAACATTCAGTTTGCTCACTTACCTCAAATTACATTAACTATTACTAAGATACGAGCTATAAGATAATCCAGACTCCTTGAGTGGGCAGGGAGTTCAAATCACTAAGTAAATATTCAAGAAATGTTGACCTGAACCAAATGCTTCCTCCCACTGTATAGTCCTACAAGTATAAAATCACAAGGTTTTGAGATATTAGACTGATTCTGTTCTCACCCTACCCAACTCCCTGATGTTGCTTTTACAAAACAGAATTGAATAAGAAGTGAATTTCTTCTTTCCAGAGGCCAGGCGCGGTGGCTCACGCCTGTAATCCCAGCACTTCGGGAGGCCGAGGTGAGCGGATCTTGAGGTCAGGAGATTGAGACCATCCTGGCCAACACGGTAAAATCCCATATCTACTAAAAATACAAAAATTAGCCAGGCACGGTGGCATGAGCCTGTAGTCCCAGCTACTCAGGAGGCTGAGGCAGGAGAATGGCTTGAACCCGGGAAGTAGAGGTTGCAGTGAGCCGAGATCACACCACAGCACTCCAGCCTGGGCAATAGAGCAGGACTCTGTCTCAAAAAACAAAACAAAACAAAAAATTAAGAAATATGGTCTATATTGTAAGGCATTTTCTGTGGATCCAGGCCTGTTATGTAATTAGGACTGGGGTGGGAGAAGGACCGTCTTGTCTTATATTTAGACTTCTGATCTGATCACTAAATAAGTTACAGGTATTTTGATGTTGTCATGTTTAAAGTGTCATTTAAAATAAACAATTGAAATATTATCAATTTGGTAATCCCTTTTGTGGTTTTATATGTTTTATATATTCATTTTATAATACACTAAAAGCCTCACAAAATGGCAGTAGACTGCAGTTCCTAACCCCTGAGGGGCCGTGTTTCATGATGCTATTATACACATCTAAAACTAAAATAAATATTAATGAAAACGACGTTTTCCATATTAAGTGAAGAGAGTTAAAGGTACATATTTTATTTCTATAAAGTGACAAACACTTGATCGCTGTAAATGTGAATACAACTTTTATTTTTAAACCTTTCAAGGGAATTAGATCTATTTTCCTGCTGTTTCCAAGCCTTCGGTAACCCTCTGAGTGTGTTTGTATTCACTAGGAAGGAACATTTCTGTGGAATTAATCAAATGGAGAATTCAATGTTCCTTTTAGATAATTTTGGCCATGTTCCATTGCGAACTTTCTAGTCTGCATTTCATCTCTTTCCTGGGAAAAGACCCACATATTCCAAATCCTCTGCCTTTTCTCTACTTGTTAGTGAAGAACAATATAGCAAAACTGCTATGTACAGAATTAATAATCATGTGCATTCAGCAAGGCTCTCTGCTGGGAATTTCATCACTAGAATAAGGCAAAACGCATGAGAATAAGAGTTCAAATGTAGTCAGTACAAACTAGTATCAAAAACTCTGTTGTATTATCGTTAATTGCTCCTCTGATTTTGCTAAAATTAAAAGAAAAATTATGTGGGGGGAGAATTAGAAAATATTCAAAGCTCCTAATATATTCCAGTAAACCCTGAGATGACAAATCTCATTTTCCAAGGAAAAGCAGTGCTAATTTTTTTTTGTAACAACAAAGAATTCATGTTCAATGCCTAATTAAAACCTGGAAATCTATATGCGTTGTTTCTTTTTTTTTTTTTTTTTTTTTTTTTTTTTTTTTTTTTTGAGACGGAGTCTGGCTCTGTCGCCCAGGCTGGAGTGCAGTGGCACAATCTCGGCTCACTGCAAGCTCCGCCTCCCGGGTTCACGCCATTCTTCTGCCTCAGCCTCCCGAGTAGCTGGGACTACAGGCTGTGCATTGTTTCTTAATGGCTTTCCAAATTTACAAAACAATCAGAGTCCTTATCTATCACTGGCTTTATGTTTCATATCAGCTTTTTTATTCATCTTACAGAATGCATTTTGCCTTGCAGATGAATTCTAGCTATTTTATCCATAGCTATAATGGAATAGCTGCTGCTATTATTTATGCTCTATACATGTTACTTTGGCCCTAAAGCCTGAAGGAACCCATTGTTGTTTTCTACCACTGATGATTTTATCTGCACTTCTGCATCTGGGCAATTGTTCACAATAGTCACAAAGACCTAGCACTTGGTCTGAGAATCCTACCTGCTGAGGAGTTTTATTTGGCCAGTTTGGTAAAGGACATTTAAATGAAGATATCTAAAGCTAGCAGAAAACAGAGATTTTGGAGTCATCAGCACATTTGGGATGGTGGAAGCCACAGCCAAGGAGGGGATGTAGTACACGAAGACCTCAGGGTAAATGTGCAGAGCCCTTATTAGGTATTCAGTAAAGACTTGAGGAGTAAAAGAATGAACTAGAAAATGACAATGTACTGATTATTAATTTATATTTGAGTAAAAAAGACTGTTATTTCCATCAAAATCTGCCTCTAGAATTTTCCAGCAAGAAAGTAAGTGATGATAGTTATTAAAAGCCCTAGCAACAGTTTATATCCTTGAGGTAAAACCATCCTGTTTCAACAGATACCATATTCTCATTGAATTCCACATTAGCTTATGATAAACACAAGATGTTTTTCATAATCTAGATGCAGGTTTTATGCATTTTTTTTTAGCAAAACATACAGGGAACTGCCAAGATGGGAGAGTAATCTTTCCTAAATCACTCCAAATGTCACCATGACTATAAGCATACTTTCCTAAATTGGGGGATTTTTGCTTAAGAAAATATAAGTTCATTCAAATGCTTCACTCACATTATATTAAGGTTTCATCATTTATCCTATAAACAAAATTCTGCTTTTATATACATTAATCACTTTGTCATTCATAGGATCAAACCAAAATGACAACTGCTCACTTTTACTGTCAATACTGCACAGCATCACTTCTTGGGAAGAAATATGTACTAAAGGATGACAGTCCATACTGTGTTACATGTTATGATCGTGTATTTTCTAACTATTGCGAGGAATGCAAAAAACCAATTGAATCTGATTCTAAGGTAAGTCTCACCTCAATTTACAGAATTACTGCCTATGAACAGCAAACAAGTGGGTTGGAGTGCCTCTTTTCATTTAGTGTTGACTTTCAACACTATTTCTCTGCTACTGGATATATAAGGATCTTAAAAGTTACCAGCAGTCAAGCTCCAGCCACTACACTTAGCACTATGAAATACAACATATGCTTAATCCTCACATGATCTTCTAAGGTAGCTGAGAATGCTAAAGATTAAAGGGGTTAAGCTATTTGTCCAAAGTTACACAGCTAGAATTTTCCTGCTGTTTCCAAGCTCTCAGTAACCTTCTGGGTGTGTTTGTTATTTCTGGAATGACAAGGGTATAAATAAATGCATAAAGAATTGAAGTTGAAAGGATTCAAAATCTGTTTTCTGATGTAAAATCAGCTTCATTTCTTACTAAACCCTATTGATACCTCTCACACCTACCACCCCTTCCTCCGACATGCTTATTCTTTCTTTCTTTCTTTCTTTCTTCTTTTCTTCCTTCCATCCTCCGATTATTTTCCTCTCTCTTTCTCTCTCTCTCTCTCTCTCTCTCTGTCTCTTTCTTCCCTCTTTCTGCCTTTGTTTTACTTAGGTGATGTTATTTTTTGTCTGTTTAGTTACATCTCAAAGAGTAATAGAACATTGCACCCTAAAATTTTTAAAAATCATTCCATGAAAAACCTCTATTATAGTTTATAAAAAGAATATAGGCAAATTTTGAAGACACAGCAGAGAATGTATTTGTTTTTTCCCAGCTGCCTTAAGTGACCCACCAAGAAAGCCCTGGGCTCTAGCTCTTAATTACCCCAGAGAGTCTCCTCTCTATGGGTAACAGTTTCAGTAACAACTTTCCCTCACGCTACTAGCACAACCTACTGACATGAGAGTCCCAGGAGTGTTCAGTTTTGTTTCATAAAATGGCCTGTATTGTCACAACCACATTTAATTAACTTTTATTTACTGTCTCAAAGGATCTTTGTTACAAAGACCGGCACTGGCATGAAGGATGCTTCAAGTGCACCAAATGCAATCACTCTTTGGTGGAAAAGCCTTTTGCTGCCAAGGATGAGCGCCTGCTGTGCACGGAGTGCTATTCTAACGAGTGCTCCTCCAAGTGCTTCCACTGCAAGAGGACCATCATGCCTGGTAGGGTCTCAAGGGGGCTCCTGTCTCTAACTGAAGCTGTGATGCTTTTCATTAAGTCCCAGCACATGAGGAGTGCAGCAGCTCCCAAAACCCTGGTTTTGAGAAAGATATCTTTCTTACTCTCTCAATCTTCTTCCGTGTACTTTAGAAATAAAAAGATTATTCATTCATTATCCTTGAACAGGTAAATTACAGTGTTCTGTGTATTTTCATATAGTCTAATTCATAGAAACATTTCAAACCAGAATCTTACCCATAAAATAAAGACAAAATGTATACCAATAACACTACATTAAACACAGTGCCCTAGGCACAATCAATGGCATCAGAAAGAGTGATTCATCATAGGCGATTGGGGCCAACTGCCATTTTGTAGCTTGACACAAACTGTTTTGAGGATCGGTTATTGTTATTCTCTCTTAGGGAAGACAGGGTTCATGTATATCATTCCACTTTTGGCAAGGACTAATTCTTTATATTTTGATCTTCTCAATCTCTATGGTCAGCAGCATAAGAACATAATTCATTCTCTGCCACTCTTGCTCTCTCATTTTCTTATTATGGATTCAGAGAATTTCTAGAAGGCCATAACTGCACAGTATAGTCTCAGTAGTTGTGCTCTGGGCATTTTTAATACCCTTGTAATGATTATTATGGCCCAATTTATCCAAACCATGTGAAACCATTAGGAGTCTCCATTAAAAGTACTTTTACATCTCCAGATTATAGGTTATGCAGAGCTTGAAAAAGTTTTCAGTCTAAGAGTGATTCTCCATCATCATGGCTAAACTTTATTAACCATTTTTTTTTCTCCAGATGAATGGGTTTTTTTGAACCTGAAAAAATACTATTTTTCTAAAAGGACAATTCATTTATCATCTTAACTTAAAACGTTTTTAAGTAATTTGATCTGTATTTGCTTAAAAAATAAAATTATGCTTGACTTATACTAACATGGCCTTACTTTTGGAGTACAGGTTCCCGCAAAATGGAATTTAAGGGAAACTACTGGCATGAAACCTGTTTTGTGTGTGAGAATTGCCGACAACCTATAGGGACAAAGCCTTTGATCTCCAAAGAGAGTGGCAATTATTGTGTGCCATGTTTTGAGAAGGAGTTTGCTCACTACTGCAACTTTTGTAAGAAGGTAATTTTCTAAAGAGGGTGAAGCTTGTGGAAACTCAGACTATTTCTTTTTAGCTGTATCATATATTTAGAATGAACTGATACTATTATGTTATATCTGTAATCAACACACCCATGGTAGTTTGGACTTTCAACATGTCCAAACCACTAGTTGTCACGATGAGCATGACCATCTTTTTTTTTTTTATTAACCATAAAATTCCAGCCACAACAAGAATTTAATATTCCAAACAGCTCAAGTGATTTGGTATTCCAGTTCATTTCACTGTTTTTTGTTGTTGTTGTTGTTTTATTTTTTTGGGATGGAATCTCGCTCTGTCACCCAGGCTGGAGTGCAGTGGTACAATCTCGGCTCACTGCAACCTCTGCCTTCCAGGTTCAAGAGATTCTCATGTCTCAGCCTTCCAAGTAGCTGGGATTACAGGTGCGTGCCACTGTGTCCAGCTAATTTTTGTATTTTTAGTAGAGACAGGGTTTCACCATGTTGGCTAGTCTGGTCTCGAACTCCTGACCTCAGGTGATCCACCTGCCTTGGCCTTCCAAAGTACTGGGATTACAGGCATGAGCCACCACACTCGGCCCATTCACTGCTTTTATACAAGATCTCACGTATTCTGGGAGAAAGCACAGGTCTCTCTTTGAATACAGATGTTTCTTAAAAAATAATGTTTGATCTATTCAGTATTAACTGTTTCAGAGAAATATGGATTTGCCTCACAAAGTGACTAAGGGAACCAAGTTAAACAGGATGTTTAACTTCTCACATTCTTTCTCAGCAATGCAAATGTCTTCTTGACTTGAAGCTTTTGTATTTCCTATGAGTAGGGCAATCGGCTCAAGAGAGTGCCAAGATCATGGGGGAAGTTCAGTAGACAAAAGACAGAAAGAAGACTAAGAGCAGCAAGTTCCTTCACTCCAGTTCCAGGATCATGTAGGGCCTTCTGACTTGGCTTCCCACTCAAAAAAAACATTTTCTAAGAGAAAAAAAAAGTAATATTTTTGAAGTAAACTTCATCCAATTCTTTTTTTATCCTCTAAGCTTTTATGTGAAAAAGTAGCTCTAACACCTTGATGAAGCCTGTCTGCATTCCATAAAATATATATGGAGGTTCTCAAAGAAATCCTTGACCTGCGAGGCATCATAAGTTTAAAATGACACCATAAATTGTCATGAGAAAGCTGAATCATGAAAATACATTGGATTAGTATAGTGGTTTCAAAGTATTTTTTATCTGTGGGTTACTTTGGCAGAACTCTTAAGCCCATTTGTATATCTGGACAGCTGGAAGTCACACTACCACTTTCTATGCACACATATGTGAACACACATGCACATACACACACACACACACACACGCAGTTAACTGTTTAACATACATAACCAATACCACTACTGCATTTAAAGAGGCAGCAATACACTATGCTAAGTTATCATTATTAAATTACACTATGTTGATGGCTGAGAATTACAATTGATCACATGACATAAAATAATCTTATGACTGAGACCTTCATTACTCTACCAAAACACTGGCTTAGAAGGTGACTTTACAAGCAGCAATCAAGCCATATGACATATGAAGCTCCAAAGAATTACCAGGGTCAATGACGGCATTTAAAAACATGCTGGAGCTGGGCATGGTGGCTCACGTCTGTAATCCCAACACTTTGGAAAGCCAAGGTGGGAAGATTGCCTGAGGCCAGGAGTTCAAGACCAGCCTGGGCAACATAGTGACACCCTGTCTGTATAAAAAAAAAAAAAAGTTTAAAAATTAGCCAAGTATGGTGACACGTGCCTGTAGTCCCAGCTACTTGGGTGGCTGAGGCAGGAGGATCACTTGGGCCCAGAAATTCAAGGCTGCAGTGAGCTATGATTGAGCCACTGTACTCCAGCCTGGGTGACAATGAGATCCTATCTCTAAAAAATATACAAAACTTAAAAACTAAAGAAAATAAAATCTTGCTGGAAATAAAATGAATAGGTTTATCTCACTGTTTTGAGAGACAACTGAGTTGGCCAATTTTAGGCTGCATTTCTTAAAGACAGACTAAAACAGTAATGATATTTGTGAGAATTATCCTAAAATCATTTATCAGACACAATAATGAAGACTCTTTCAATGCTATAACAATTCAAGAGTGAAACTTCTTTAGTACATCCATGCTGAGCACTGTCTGGGCCAAGTGCTGATGTTTCCCAGGTTATTGGAGCCTGTAACTATATTTAGGATATGATTTGAAGTCATCAAAAATTTACAAAATATTTATATTGGGTAGTAGACAGATTATGACATGCCAGATTATTTTTTATTTAGTTTTTAAAACCACAAGTCCTTTTCTAAAAAGCTAGATTTGTTTTTGATCAAGATGATCCAATCTAAACAATTTTTTTCAACCCAAACCAAAGACCAAATATTTTCTTAAAAAAAGGAAAAACTACTTGACAACCAGGCTGTTAGAACTTTTAAGCTTTAAAATCCATAGATTTTATTTTGTTAAACTAAGATTTATTTTCTGCCAGAAAGCAAATGATTTTAAACTACAAGTGCTTCAAATTCAAACTCCTCAAGGTTCAAAAGGAGTTAAACGTCTTCTTCGATTTTTCATCTGTCACATAATGAGTGCAAAATCATTATTGCCCCCACTTTTTCACAGAACAAACTTGTTCTAAATCCTGAGATCAATCAGTGGTGAAAACCAAGCTTAGATATTAGACTTTATCTTACCTTCCTACCTCTTCAAAAGGAATATAATCACAAGCAAACTATTTTTGATGTTCCAGAATTTCTTCTCTCTAATTAAACAGTCTTTGGTGTATATATCAAGTTTTATTTTGCTGTGAATACATTTTTCAAGTTTCAGATCTTTTAAGCATTGCCTGCTAATCATCAGACCAAACAAATCAAAGGAATCATGAATTCTGCTGTGTCTGCTGTAAGGCATTGGAAGTCAGTAGGAGGTATTTTAAATTGCTTTACTTCCATCACAACATTATGCTTCCCATTTACTTATTCAGAATAGTATGCTTTTTTCCCTCTAGGAAAATATCTTTCATATCAAATATCTTTAATTTCTAAGATATTTGTTATAAGATTAAAAATACCTTTAGAATAATTTTTTCACAAGTCTATGTAACAGACAAATAACATTTTTGAGTTCGTAAACAACGAGGCGGCTTAAAATAGGCTCTAAGTTTTTACTACCTAGTTAATTTGATACAAAGGTTATAGGAACCACCTCAGATACCCCATTGCTTCAGTCATTATAAAACACTTACAAAAACACATTCCAGTATCTACAGCAATTCTAAGAGCTCATTAGCTGTGAATTCAAAAGGTGATGTGGCTTAAAAATAGTTACATGAGAAAAAATGCCCAAGATTTATCCATCTGATTCTAACTAAAGATTTCTCAGCCTTTTAAAAAGTAGAATTCATGGATTAAATTGGTTTAGAAAGAAAATATTATCTTATGCAGAACTAATTACATCTCAGGCAAAACACTGCACATCACACCTTAAGGCTCAATGTACAACCAGGGCTTATTCCATTGAGTTCTAATTCCCACAGCACCCCACTGCTAGATACAATATTGGAATTGCTTTCCAACTATTTTTTCCTTTGGCATTTATTCATTCATTCAACAAGGATTTTCAACTGCTTATCTGTGTAAGGTAACCTTGACTCAGTATGGCACTGATGGTGATGCACACAGGCTGTGGAATCAGACCATGCAGGTTTGAATCCTAGCTCACTATGGCCATGGCAAGTAACTTAATGACTGTAACCCTCACTAGTTGCTCATCTGAAAAGAGGGAAAGATAATAGTCTGTAGTATGTAGAGGTGTTGAGAATATTCAGAAGAGATCATCCTTAGCACGGTGGTAAGGACTGAAAAAACACTTAAGAAATGGTAGTTGTTATTAGCAAATAATGGTGCTTACCAATTCCATTCAGAATTACTGCTGTTGGATATTCTTGGACCTGGTGTAAAGCATTCAGGAAAAAGAAGAATTCTTTTAAGCATCCCTAAAGTTAGACAGGTAGTTATAAGAACATAGTATAGAAAATAGCTCTAACGGCAGATCTTTAAAAACCAAAATTAAGAAAATTCAGAGAAGTATGAGGAAGTGAAAAAAGAACCTGTGTGGTTTTTCTCCCCCATCTTCCTGAGTCCAATATGGCCCTGCCTCTGTTCTATTTCATTGTAGGAGAAAAATATACAATAATTTCCATTTCTTTCTACTTCTAATTAATTCCTATAGCCTTTGGCTTCTCATATTATTAATTTTTAATGACTTTTTGAGGAAAAGAACATCCTAACATAAGGTGAAAATAGAGTAGCCAAAAGCACCAGTTGTGGCATAGAAGACATGAAATGATCTTTTTTTTTTCTTTTTGCTTCCTTTTCTCCCCAGAGATACTAGGATCTCAAAAGAATCATGAAATGATCTGAATTGTAATGGCTCCCATGGTCATTGCCTTTTCTGTGGTCTTTGGCAGGTGATAACTTCAGGTGGGATAACATTTTGTGACCAGCTATGGCATAAAGAGTGTTTTCTGTGTAGTGGCTGTAGGAAAGATCTCTGTGAAGAACAGTTCATGTCCAGAGACGACTATCCATTCTGCGTGGACTGCTACAACCATCTTTATGCCAACAAGTGTGTAGCCTGTTCCAAACCCATTAGTGGTGAGTTCTTCAGTTCAATATGATCATGCCATGAGACAGTTATGACTTTATGAAACACTATCTAGTTAATTTAGGAAAAGCAATTAAAAAATGGGAAGCTTTCCTTTATATTTCCTTTTGAGATAAACACAAGTGGGTGCATATATATGAGTATAAATATTACATGGATTCCTCAAGGAAAGTACAAGAGTATAATTTGGGTGACTATACTCTGTGAAGGTAACTACATACTAAACCTAATGGTACTGACTCTAACATTCAAGGAAGGAGGAGAACAGGATGAGCTGAGAGGTTAGTGCAGGCCTTCACGAGGAGATCTGCTTGCAGCCTCATTAAGTTTTGAGTGGGAGGAGAAGAGTACTAATAAATCAAAATCCTGCTTAATTCTAAAATAGGACCAAGCATCCTTTAGTTAGGAAGGTTTTAATTAAATTCCACTATTGTATAGAACATCTGAAGCTGTAATAATTAAGGTAGCATAGGTCAGTAATTAATTAAACTTCATTTTAAGATGCTTCTAACAAATGTATTACTCTCTTTTCTCTATTCACTTGCAATTATGAAGTGTGTTTATGAGTAGATGAAAGAAAACAAGATAGCATTTTACTGAAAAAAAAATGTGACATGATTTGAAAATAACATAATGATAAATCAATCCATGTTAAAGAGGTTTTCAAGGTAAAAAGAAATACATCTTTTCCTCAGAGACACTTTTAAAATGCTAATCCTATAATAAAGGAACTGAAACTAGCATGACACTTGAGAAACTCAGCAGCTATTCTTTCTGGCAATTTATAATCACTTAATAATGTGTCAGAACTGTATATCTACTTTCTATTCCTAGTATTCTTAGAACATATTTCAATTTTTAGTTGTTCATATACCATAGAATTAAAGATCATTTTATCCCTTTCCTCCTTCTTCATCTTCAAATATGTGGCAAAATAAAAGTTGAGTCTTCATGCACTTTCCAACCAAAAGAAAAAGTTTCACAGCAAACCCCACCTTGGCAGGCTTTCACTGACTTGCAAAGGGAGGGAGGGTGTCACCAGAAAAAAACAGCATGGTCTTATTTGTCTATATGGAGCACCATCTGTGTCAGGATCTCACACTGGCTCACGGGCTACATCTGGCAAGCAGGCTGTTGATGTTTGGCCTGAACATGTTTGGAAATAACTAATGTAAAATCCATCTCTGCAGCTAAAAGTAGAGGAAGAGCCTGCCATTGGGTGAGCAGACTGCCTCCACATTCCCCAGCAGGGTCACCATCATATGGAACTCGTGGCTGTCCAATTGCATGGGGCATGCCCTCTCTGTCCCTTGCACCCTGTCTGCATCACTCAGCTAGATCACCTCCCTGGCCCTTGCAAGAACTTGCCTTAGCAATCCCACACCACTCGGCTCCAGGGTCCATGCTTTTAATTACCCTGCTCTCCTGCCTTCTACAAATTTGACAATTCCTATAGCCAAGAGATCTCCACTGATTTTAGTTAGAAAATGGGACTTTCAGATATCCAACAATACCTGGAGCTCCAGAATCTCCCAAGTAAAATCTGCAATCACAGTCCATTTATTTTATAACAACACTTATCTTGAATTGGGACAGAAAAAAAAAGGGGACTTCAATGAGAAAATAAGGAAATTAACAACTCAAAATAAGTTTCAAAATTCTCTGGAGATCCAGATGGCTAATACTGATCTGCAAAAAGCCTACACAAGCCCTGAACTTGAGTTTCAATTCTGGTATATCACAGATTCATGTGCCTAAGTGATTTTTTTCATAGATTGTTCCAGATCAATCACTGGGCCCAGCTTTTTAAAGTTGAGATGGAAAAACAACGTTGTTCTGCACAAAAACATGAGGATGATCAAAAGTAAATAATCTGACCCAAAAGTAATCTAAATTTTACCCAAAAGTAATCTAAATATTATATATTTAATTTAGACTCATCAGTCCACAGGAAATGTCTAATAACTATCTTAATCTTTTTTTTAACTTTGTGATTGAGACACCAGAGGCTGAAATGCCTGCAAAAACTTACAACTCACTTTACTATTTCTTCATCTAATTGTTAAATATCTATAGGCCCTGAAGTACTGCTTCTTTAAAATTGAGCTATTTGAACTGATGTACCATTGGGAATTCTGATATTGTCACACGTCTTCGGAAAATTGGCATTAATCTGATTATTATGTCACTTTAAAAGCTAGGTATTCTTGGTCAAAGGATACACAATTTCAGTTAAACAGGGGAAATAATTTCAAGATCTATTGTACAACATAGTGACTATAGTTAACAACTATGTATTATATACTTGAAAATTGCTAAGAGAATAGATTTTTAAATGTTCTCACCACACACACAAAAAAGCATATGATAAGGTAATAGATATGTTAATTGCCTTGATTTAGCCATTCCACAATGCATACATATACAAAAACATGTTATATAATATATGTACAATTTTTATTTGTCAATTAAGATTAATCAATTATTTTTTTAAAAAGCTCTGAGAAATCTACCCATAAATCACCAAGTGTAATTTTTAAAACCCATCACATTGAACTGCTTCATTTGAACAAACTCCAGATATAGCTACCATATTTTCTCCTCCTTTGAGATAGGATTAACCTCTTAAACTATCAGGGATAAATGAAGCTGCTTGATGCAGTGAAAGGTGCTCTGGACTGAGGAGCAAAAGACTTGGTCCTCCCTGCCCCCACTGCTGTGTCACCATGGGTGACTAACTCACCTCAGGGGTGGGGGGCCTTCATTTGCCTTATTTATAAAACAAGCAGTTGAGCAGGTTGGCTTTCTTCCATCTCTGTTTATTTCAAGGAAAAGGAATTTCAAATGTTGTGGCTTCTTCAGAGAGTGATGCTGATGTTCCTGATCATATTCTTTACCAAAGATAAACTCAAACTTAGTTTCATGAGGTTAAAAGCAGAGACTCTAAAGACAGATGGCCCTGGCCTGTGCTTAAATCTTAGATCTGCTGCTTACTAGCTGGGTGACCTGGGGCAAGCGGTTAAACTTCTCACTTCTCAGTTTTTGTCTGCAAAGTGGGGCTGATGCTAATATCTGACCCCATGAAGGTAAGGTGAGGGCTGTATACGGTAACACACATAAAGGACTTAGAATAGTAATTGGCACACAGTCAAGCACTCAACAAATGCCAGCTCTTATTCTACTGACTTGTCAGAAACCTATGAAACCAGATAACACAGGTGTCAAAGACCTGCTTCATGAATGGCTTTCTTACTGCAAACAACCCTCATGACCTAAGGGAGTAAACATATTCCTTTTGGAACAGTTTACATACATCTCACATGTTGGTTCAGCCCTTTCTTAAAGTTGCCAGATGCTTCTACTTTTTCTTATTTGTAAAATTCCGGAAGAATTGCTTTTATATTTGCCACTTGTACAAGGCTTACTAATAAAATTAAGAAAAACTCATGAGCATCAAAATGCTAGACATGTAATAATTAGTTTTATGAACAGCATAATTTATGTATATACAGAACATTACTCTTGCAGTCAGCTTATTAATGTTTTGAATAACATTAAGGGAATTAAGTAGTACATAATTAATTTACATTTATTAGGAAGTAATGTTGATAGCATCATAGATAAGCAAGCTATAAATTTAATCAAGGAAAGTAGAGAAATTTGATGCAATTTTCTGTATGAACTACTAAATTATATATGAAGACATCAAATAAGTTTGTTAGGATGGAAACAAAAGTTCATTATCCTATTTAAGAAGAATGTATCTGAAATAGAATGCTATTCACCCTTTCACTTCACCATTCCAAATGGAGTATTTGGAAATTACATATGAATTACATAACTCTTTTAGCCTCACTCCATGGATGATAAGCAAATAATAGCACTAAGATTACTGGGAGAAAACATGAAATAAATAAAGACCCAAGCCTAGGGCATCTCAACCTCTTCCCAAACCCTAACATTTTCTCCTTTAATGTAACTTCTCAAAATCAATTTCTTGAACTATACCCTGGAATCACATTAAGGAGACAGAGATCAGACCCTCACCGAAGATTCAAATTCGACTACTTTTTAAAGAAACAGTATGGTTCAAGTGAGGCCCAAGTTAAAGTGGAGGAGGCTGACAAAGCTCTTAGAAACCAATCACGTGATAACGTGGCTTCATTGGCCAGATTCAACAAAAGCTGAAGCTGGCTCTGAGCAAGGTAATAAGGCCATCACGTTAGGATGGCTGAATGATTAGACAAAATCCTCTATTTGGTTATGCTTTCTAGAAATAGTGTCCCAAACCGTATAACCCCAGGACATATTCTAAGTACAACTAAGCACAGAAAAATGAGGGGAAAGAAGAAAACTAAAACTCATTACAACATTGGACATCAAACTAGGAAGCATACATTTATTTCCTTTTATCTTCATTTTGCAGCTAAGAAAACTTAAAGTCATATAGAGAAAAAGGGGAAATGTATTCATACTTAGATATCTCTGACTTCACAACCTATACCTTCTTTCCACTATGCTACACTGTATTGTCTTATCTGGCTTAGACAACCTTATCTGTTTCCAAAAATACCTGACTTGCATATTAGCATTCTGCCTTCTTCTGTTGATTATGGCAGAATTTGGCTGTGAATCTGGTTGGGTGGCATAGGTGTAACTTTCCTACAGTGGATAGTTCCAGATGGACACAGGGCCAGGAAGCAGCATTCTTTTTTGGGTTATTTGCCTCTGCGTTGTTTTGCTCATAGCTCTATCTCCAGTTCCTAGAGGAGCATCTGCTAGAATGCTCAATCTGTTCCTTGAAAGGATAGATTAATCTTTTTCTCCAATTCCTTTACAGGTCTCACAGGTGCCAAGTTTATCTGCTTTCAAGACAGCCAGTGGCATAGCGAATGCTTTAACTGCGGGAAATGCTCTGTCTCCTTGGTGGGTAAAGGCTTCCTGACCCAGAACAAGGAAATCTTCTGCCAAAAATGTGGCTCCGGAATGGACACTGACATCTAGGAGACAGTCCTTGCCCACCTAAAATCCATTTTGCCTTCGTTGTCACTAAAGCCAGAACTCAGTTGCGGTCTTATTTTTGACTTAAGTTTTAGAAAATATTCATGTAGTTTAGAGTGGAAAAGTTTTTGCACACATTTTGATCGAACTATATTCTAAGCACACAAAAAGCACAGTAGAACAGAAATGAATATATGCTAAATCACAAAGACAACTCTCCTTGCAAAATACTGCACTCTGCTGTTAGAAGCAGAGGAAAATATCTCTTCATAATCAAATATATGACATATACCTAGGAGCTGTGGATGTAATTACTGAAGAATGAGGTTTTTCATACCTGAAGAGTAAAAGAAAAACTAAGAGATCAAACTGAGAGGTATACATGAGGCTAGTGTTTGCATTCCTGGTTATATGTAATGTGATAAATTAGCTATGAATGGTAAAAGAACAAAACTGATCAGAGTAAATTCATTAGCAATTATCACATTTAAGAATTGTTATCATTTAAAAATCATCCTTTTTTTCACACATACTGACTGTAGAATTAAAAAACAAAGCTACAATTTGCCCTCATACACACTGCTTCCACAGCTTGCTAGTTCTGTGTTTACTCAATGGAATATGAGAACTGAGGACATTATGGCTCTCATAATCTGCATAGGTATAAAGAGGATCATTTCTACCTAGGGATAGCCAAAGCATGGGTTTCAACACGTTTTGTATTAAATATATTTTCAAAGTCCACAGTGATTTTTCTAAACGCTTACAGATTCCATGAAATAAAAGTCTATTCTTTCAAGTGGAGCTAACCAGGATAATCTTTGTCCCCAAAGGCAAACCTTTAAAATAAATAGATCATTAAATCTTCACTTGTGGAAATGAGTTTTAGGGAAGGGATTGAGTCTTGGAACATGACTTTCATCCAGATATCTAACGACATAATAGAATGCATAATTAGCTCTGTGCCTCATGCATTATTGCCTTCTAAAATTACATAAATGATTAATGGGCAGACATAAAAGTGGGCTTTAAAGAAATCTAGTAATAATAAAAGCTGAAAAAGAATAATTCACTGCTGATAATTCAGAACCTGCAAAGCAGCACAATAGAGTAATGTGGGCTGTAGGCGAGCCCTCCCCACTCTTCCCCCACACCTGTGCCACACCCCCCTTACCCCAAGCCAGTTGTGCCCCCAGTTTCAATCTCCTGCATAACCAGGAGGTGCACTCCTAACCCTAAGCAACTGTCCTATAAGTCAGTCAGTGTTTATTGATCACACAGGAAGTAAAGAGCCTTAGTGAGAAGTCCATCACCAGGTTTATCTTTATACCAGACTTTAACTGATCATGACCCTATCTTGCTACCCCTGGATATTTTCCACATTACTTGGGACAAATGGAAAGCAACCTCTGCTCTCCATGATCTGTTTTCACATTGGTTATAGCATCTCTTGGATGGAGTAGAGGGAGGTCAGGAGAAGAAGCCCACATAGATATATAACTGTCTTCTCTCAGATTACACATTATAGCATTAAAGGTTTTGATTAAAATCTAATTGTAAGATACTGCTGATTACAATTACCAAAATAGCATCACAGGAGATTCAATTAAAATTGTTATGGAAATAATTTTTGAAATAGTTTAAAATGCAAGAATATTCAGCGATGTTAATAATTTAGAGATACTAATAAGTGTTCTGCTAGATAGACTATTTGAAAACTATAAATGTATTTTTGGATTAACAATGCCAAGGTATTTTTTCATATTCACATTGAAAAATACAGGCAAAACTATCAATATTTTTTCTGCATTATATGAAATTTCACAGGTAGAACTAAATCTATGATATAGAAAATAATAGCACATTACACATAGAGAAAACCAAGCCACTTAGGTTTAGATAGATATATAACATGTAACATCTTCTCTGTTAACCAATTATAGATACATATACAACATGTAATGTTTTCTTAGTTAAACAATTGGAAATGTTTAGGCATTTTACTGTGTGGGGGCAGTGAGTATGCACATGATCAGACTTGTATTCTAGCTTTACAATTAAAATTCACAGAATCATTTCCTAAAGATTTTATTATCCTTTCATAAGTATAAATATATATACTTTTACATATAAATAGTTCTGCATTTAGAAGGTATCCTACACATCAAACATCCATTAAACATGTACTATGCCAAAAGTTAGAGCTTATACTGTTGTGGGTCTGGAGTTGTAGGAGGATGGATCATGGTATGGAAATGCAGAAGTGCCTGATGCAAAGATCCTTGCCTGCAGGTTAAACAAAGCACCACATATGTAGACATAGCACACATATGCAAAACAACTAAGAAAAAGACCTCCTTAGGTCTTTGCGTAACACACACAAAGATAAATGTAAAAATTATATAGTTGATTTATATGGTTTATGTAACAAAGAGAAAAACTCCTTAATGGACTTATCCAAAGATGAAATGGACTGACTCAGGAAACAGTGGGCTCCCAGTAATTCAAAGGTGACATCTGCATGGGCAGGAAAGAAGTTAAAAGCAAATCCCATGTGCCAATAACAACCAGATGGCTTGGAAGTAGCAGAGACTGCCGAAGAGCAGGAGAAAATAAGATTGCTAAAAGAGAAAGAGTCAGAGGAAGGGAGAATATTAACTCTTAGGATAAAAAGTGACATAACCGGCCATAGAAAGTTACCAACTGTTCATAAGTAAAGGAAGAAAATAATTATTGTAGTGTTTGAGGAAAATTATGCTTTTGATCCTTTGTGGAATAGAACCAAAGAAAGCAAGGTTCCAAGGATTAAGTTTCTTACTGAAGGAATAAGTTTGGTTAATGGCTACAAAAGTGAAAAGAAAGAGGAAGAAGGCATTGAAGGCCACGAGTTACATTTGTTGGCAAAGATGAGTATGCAAGTCAACAAGTCAAAATATTTTATTTTGTCATGTTGGGGATTAAAGATGACAAAAGAAGCAAAAATGTATTTCTGCTTCAATAATAATGACTAGGAAGCCCAAGGGTTCAATTTTAACTTGGCATTATAAAAGTGTTAAATTGGGACAAACTAGCTCCACTGGTTAAGTAAAATGTGGTTATGTTACAATCCAGGCTTCAAAGCTTACATCGTTGCTATAACTTAAAAAAAAGAAACACTAGATTGTTCATTAGAGTAAAATATTGGCCTACCATTATGAAAAATGCATAACACTAATCACAAATGGTTAAAAAAAACTGCCAAATTTAATATCACAAATGAAAAGTCAATCCAAAAACACATTTCATGTTAGCAATACCATTTTTGAATTTAAGAAAAAAATAACTTTTAATCTACTTGGCATATTGTTAATTGTCTGTGTTTTAAATAAGAAAATGGTTGTTTAGCCGGGCACGGTGGCTCACGCCTGTAATCCCAGCACTTTGGGAGGCCAAGGCGGGCGGATCACGAGGTCAGGAGATCTAGACCAGCCTGGCTAACACGGTGAAACCCCGTCTCTACTAAAAATACAAAAAATTAGCCGGGCACGGTGGCGGGCGCCTGTAGTCCCAGATACTCGGGAGGCTGAGGCAGGAGAATGGCGTGAACCCGGGACGCGGAGCTTGCAGTGAGCCGAGATGGCGCCACTGCACTCCAGCCTGGGCGACAGAGCAAGACTCTCTCTCAAAACAAAAAGAAAAAAAAAGAAAATAGTTGTTACGGTATGTTTTAGATATATTTAATCAAGCACATAGTCTGTAATGCACCTATAGATAGATGTTTATTATGATAATGATACAGTTTTTGCTAATTTTATACATTGGTTTTTAGAAGTCTCTTATACTGAATAAATTTACATTTTACATAGTCTATATTACTCACATTATTTTTAAAGATTTATTTTTTACATTAACTGTTTAGTAAACAGAATAGGTGTGGAATAAATTCTGTAGTGTTTCTACTTCGATTACATAAAGAAACATGATAACTTTTACCTTCTATTACCCATCTGTTTTTACAACATTCAAATTATAACTATATATTCAGATATTATTTCAGGGCATTAATAGGAAAAAAACAAAATTGTCCGACCCAAACAGAATCTCTCTTCTGTTAAATTAGGGGATCCATAGCTATGCTCTTTCTTACAGTAATAAAATGGTGAAAATATTCTAAACTAAAAATATCCTCTAATTATTATTTCTGTGACTCTGAAAATATTTCATGAAAAAAATCCCACTTCAATTGAATTTTTCTGCTTTGATGCAGATAGTCTTTTGCTAATTTCTTATTTCTATATGTAAGGAATTGCTAAAACTCTTGGTGGCTTTAAACCCTTATTTATTCTATCTAAAGCAAAATTTATGTCTAGTACACAAATCTTCATGAAACTTTAATCCACATTATTAGTATCATTTAGTTACTCTCCAGAATTAATCTTGGAAGCTGAATTCTTTTAACGACCAAAGATGTTCCACAAAGACTATTTGAAAGAACACCCTCATCAAACATTTCTAGTTCACTTTTTAAATCACATGGTTTTGAAAAGTACTGATCTTGTGGGGACCCAAAAGATAAACTTTTTGTCTTGGAATAGTGTCTCTTCAATGAAAGAGTCAGAATATCACTAGAAATTACAGTTGTTAGGTATTACCTTTATCCTAAACCTCTTCTTCCAGGAGTATTAAGTCTTTAGATCTTCATTATCCTACCAGAAACATTGCAGGATTGACTGAGATGGGATCATCATTAAAAAATGTATGGGAACTTTGAGGTCCTCTTTTCAGGGAGAGGTAAAGGAGACCTGTCAAGACTTGGGAAAATACATCACCAGGATAGATTTGGCCTTAAGACTTCTCAGAATTTACTGAATCTGTATTGTGTTATGTCAACATTTAAAAAAGGATATCGAGGAGAGAGGACATCAAGGCTTCATTTGAACCATCCATCTCAAAAGAATTTAGAAATGAGACCATCCATTCAAGTCATCCATGTGCCTTCTTAGATGGTCCCAAAAATGTATCATCCAGAGAGAATTAGAGAAGTTTTGTATGATAATTATAACCATTCTGAATTTTTCTGGTTGATAAGCTTTAGACTAGATACTCAGTTCAATATGGAGGAAATCAAAAAGGAGGGAAAAGAAACGAGATTCAGACTCAAAGTTGGAGTCTATAAAAGAAATAACAGAGTTTACACGTATTTGAAATGACTGGATTTTATATCACTGTGGTTGAGAAAGGGAACAGCTCGCTGTGATAGAATTATGATCCCTGTCACCGAGGAGCAAAGAGTATTTGGGTCAAATATTTTCCCACGAATGTTAACAAACTTATGGAGTGGATGTCCATAAAGGGTTCTCTAAATGAGGAACATTAATGAGCTCAGCAGACATTCATCCAGTGACTCAAACAGTGACATTAAATGCTATTCCTGCTACACACAAAAACAAAAAGTTTGATATTTACGGAATTCCACACACTGAATCCTTAAGGCTTATTCCTTCTTTAAAAAATGACATCCTATCCCTTGTTTGCCTCTGTAGCATCACTGATAAGTCTGTTTATTTGAGAGCTTCAACCCAACCTCTCAAACAGGAAATGAATGAAGGAGTATGGATAGAGGAAAAATGGAGAAAAAGAGTGTGGTGATAAAAATTTTGACATTTCTGAAAAAAAATAAAAAATTAAAATTTTAAAACTTTTGTTTTCCCTATGTAATAGAAACTTTCCAAAACTACAAGATAGTTACAAGAGGCAAAATACATGCACAAAAAAAGGAAAAGTTTGATAAAATTTTGGGCTTAAGGACTACAGTTAGTATCAGTCTTCTCCCCTCCATGGAAATTACTCTCTTAGACATCACCAACTAATATGTAGCCACAAAAGTCCATGATTGCTTCTTCAACTTTCTGTCTGCTATGAGATAGGCACTTGCTATCGTTGGCTTCCTCAAGCTTCTTCAAAATCTTTCTGCCAGTGGCATCCATGACACCATTCTCTCCTATGTCTCCTAAATCTCTGCCCCATTCACTGGCACACCATCCTCTATCAATTTCTTAAAAACAAATATTCCTAAATATTCTTGACCTCCTTGCTCTATATTTTCTCTGTTGGTGAACTTACCTAATTCCATGATTTCAATTGCTTTCTCTGGATAGCTGAGTTCCAAATATACATCTTCTGCCTTGAATTCTCTTCTGAGTTCCAGACCCAGGTTTCTCATTGCCTTTTGGACATCTCAAACCAATGTCATGCACACACCTAAAAATAACTTTATTATCCTTCCTCCAAATTCCACTTATCGTCCTCTGTTCCTCATCATAGTTAATGCATCATCCAAATAGAGCTTTTTGAATTCAAGTCTTGGGTACATGAAAAGTAGTCATTAGGGAAATGCAAATTAAAACCACAATGAGATACCATTTCACACAGACTAGAATGGCTATAATAAGACAGACAGTAACAAGTATTGTTACGGATGTAGAGGGACAGGAACTTTCATATATTGCTGGCAGTAATGAAAATGATAGAAAATGATACAGCTATTTTGGAAAACAGTTTGATAGTTTCTCAAAAAGCTAAACATAAAACTACCATAAAACCCAGAAATTTCACTCATATCTGCCCAAGAGAAATGAAAATATATGTCCACACAAATGTTCATAGCAGCATTATTCATAATAGCCCAAACTTGAAACAATCCAAGTATTCAACTGATAAATAGATGAAAGAAGTATGATACAGCCATATAATATAATATGATGCAGCCATAAAAAGGAATGAAGTATTGATACATGCTACAACATGAATGAACTTTGGAAATATTACGCTAAGTGAAAGAAGTCAGACAAAAAGGCCACATACTGTATGATTCCATGTATACAAGATGCTCAGAACAGGCAAATTTCCAGAGACAAAGTCGATTAGTGGTTTCCTGGGGTTAGGGTCATGAATTGTAATTAACTGCAAATGCCCACGAGGAAACTTTTTGGAAAGAATGAAAATATTCTCAAACTAATTTATGGTAATCATTGCACCACTTGATAAAATTACTAAAAATCATTGACTTATAGACTTGAAATGAGTGAACTGCATGATATGTAAACTATAGCTCAATAAAGCTGGGTTTTTTTTAAATCTATCTTGGATTTTCCCTCTCACCAATTCCTTACATCTGAGCCCTGTAAGAAAAGCCACAATTTTTTCGTTTTCCCTTGCAGACTTATTTTGTTTCCCCAAAATACCATTCACTTTAATTTTTATGTGCTCCTGCCCATGCTGTTTCCTCTGCTTAGGATTCTCTTCCTCTCACCTGCCTGTCAAAATTTTAGTCAACCTCTAAAGCCCAGATCAAAGTTGCCTCCTATGTGAAACCTTTACTAATATCCCTTAGCAAAATTTAATCATTTCCTGCAACTTCTTTTTTATAATTCTGTGAGAAGTTTAAACAACTTGGTTTATATTACAGTTAGGAGTGATAGGCAACCTGGTTAAACGATGGTTCTTGGAGTCAGAAAAGCTGGTTTCAGATCCCAGCTCTGCCACGGGCTTGTTATGTGACGTTTGGTTAAGTTACCGAACTCTGAGCCTTGGTTTCTCAATTTTCCAGTATAAATCTCAAAAAGTTTGATGTGAATATGAAATAAAATATATGCAAACTGCTTTACATCTACCTGGAACATATTCAACATATTATAAAGTTATTAAAATGTCAATTATCTTCACCTTCCTTCCCACCCCTACTCGACCCTATATCATATGTTTATTCATCTTTGATAAACTCAGTGCTTAGTGAAGTGTCTGGCACTGGGTAGACAGCCAATAAATACTTTCTGAATTAAATTCTAGTTGTGAAAATATTATTGCTATAATATTCTCCTAGTGTCAGTTGTCAATAATCATGATTAATATGTAAATCCCTTTTGCTATTGGCCTCAATCATGTTGTATAGAGTTGCCCATGTAAGAAGCAGCTAGATGGCAAATTAATGCCTCTAGTTTCAAGTATCTTCATTGAAGTTTTGATTTTGATACCACTGTTTCCTCTGTCCATATACTATTAATCTATAGAATATGCCTTTCTCAACCAGCACTCACAGGGTGTCTGGAGACACTTAATTTTCAGGTGCTTTGGAGAATAACTGCCTATATTTGAAGTTTCCTCTAGGGCCCTCAAAGTAGATGTTTTAGGCATTGCATAGCTTTTTGTTAAGCCAGACCATCCTAAATATGCCTGCCAAATTTGGAGTCAATCTGTCCAAGTTTTGTATCATGTGTGTACAGACAGCTAGAAATGCAATTGTACTTACTTTGATTAAATCTCAAAATGCATTCTCTGTGTTCCTCAAAAATGCAGCCAATTTTACTTTAACCTACGCTGAGTATGTGTAGCTTTGGACATATTAAATTATTTTATCATACCAGAACAGCATTTATGGGCTGCCTCAATCCTCCCATGGTACAGCATTTCTCTTGTTCTTCCTTATTAAGCTTCCTATTTTTTTTTTGACACTTTCACCTTTCCTGTTCCAGTGTTCTCCTTCTCTTAATGTGCACTAATTCCTAGTGGATATAAGTTTAGGATATTAACATAATTACTTCGGATGGAATTCTAGAAAATAAACATCTAGGCATTTCTTTATCCATTTACCTGGTCCTTAACTAGCACCCACACTTTTCTTGCCTGATGCCCCAGTATTAAACTCAATATGTAGCTTCTAAGAACAGAAATACAAGTCCACAGCTAGAAAATGTTCAGAGACAGATATTAAAACTGGGAGAAATAAAAACTCTCTGGGTATTGAAACTTTAATTCTCATTCTTAGGTTTTTCATAAAATCTTCTATTATCTCTCATAAGAAGTATGTTTCTAGCTGCCAGTATGAGGCTTTTGTCAGTTTATGAGGAGAGTAATATCAAAACCCACAACTGCTTTGATTCTCAAAAGAAATATTAAAGACCTTTAGTTTGTAATCATAATGTACAATAATTGTTGAAAATCTTCAGCTAGTTATCTTCTTTGTGAATAATTGTTACCTTAAAGTGACAACAATCTCCCTTTCAAATACATCTGAAGCAAATGCAGGCAGGTGTAGGTGATGTTGTCTTAGCTTTCTTTACCTCCCCCAGTAAGAACCTCCAGCACTCTCCATGTCCCTAGGAATATGAAATGCGCTTGCCTTCATTTTCTACAATAATCTAATAAACTGGTACTTTAAATTATTCTCATTGTACTGATGAGGAATTTGAGGTTAAAAGAGGGACAATAATTGGCTCGAGTTATTAC
This sequence comes from Homo sapiens, assembly GCF_000001405.40. Lineage (NCBI taxonomy): Eukaryota > Metazoa > Chordata > Mammalia > Primates > Hominidae > Homo > Homo sapiens. The sequence goes on from NC_000006.12 coordinate 96,625,034, forward strand.
AATACGTATGGATCTGATTCCAGAGTCTATGATATCAGTGATGCTATTAATACAAATACATGGTGCCACCACTCTCTGCAGAAAGCCTAGTGTTACCATTTCCCCTTTCCCACATACCCACTTCCTGCTGGTCGCAGGTCTTGTTTCACTTGTTGAATGTCTCTTAAGACTGTTTTCTCCTTTTCACTGCCATGGTTCAAGCTTCATTACCTCTCATCTAGATGCTTTAAATTATCTCCTGTTAAAACATGTTTTTGTATCTCCATGGCCTCATCCTTTCATCTATCCTACACCTTTCCTCCACCAGATCAATATTTCTTAATTAGCATCTGATTATGGCTTCATCTTGCTCAGCAGCCTTTACTGGCTCTCCATTAGTTCACCTCCAAAATCTGGCCTCATGGCTCTTCGTAGGCTACTCTATCAGCATTTTTCCCCACTAGAATAGGTACCTCTGAGGATGGAGTCTTTGTCTATTCTATTCACCATCAAATATGCATTGCCTAGAACAAAACCTAGTACAGAGAAGGTGCTGAAATAAGTGTTGGGTGAAAGAATGAAGAAACATTCTGCTTTAGCCATATCTTATTACTCATTGCTCCCAAAATAAATAAATACTGGATTTTCTTCAACTTGGTTCTTTTGCTCAAAATAGTCTCCTACCTGGGTAGTCCTCCCTATCATCGCCATTTATGCAATTAATTCCAAATTAAAATTTAGCCATTTATCACTCACAAGTCAACCTTTCCAGCTGGAAATATTCACCCCCTCCTATGTATTTATGACAATTCTCATATCATACTCATTATATTTGCTTTGAGTTATATAGTTAATTATCCTATAGTCATCTGAAACTATTGATTCAAAATAGGGCAATGTCTCATTCAGCATTGTATTTCCCATAATGTTGGGTATAAAATAAGCTTAAATAAATGTTGAGTTTTAAAATTGAATTGAGTCACAGGACAAGTCACTTCTGAATTTCTTCCTCAAAACTGGTAAACATTGATACACATGTAAACAATAATGATAAAAGCATTAATAACACTGAACACCAAGGACTGCATGAATTTCATTCCTCCAGTAGCCTTATGCAGTATATACTATCATTACCAGATAGGAAAACTGGAGCACAAAGAAGTTAAGTTCTCCAAGATCCCACAGTTATTACAAGAAGGCCAGAGTTTTAAGTAAGAGGTTTGGCTTTAGGGCCAAACCATGCTCTTAACCTTGGACACTACGACCTCCAAAATTAGAAAGGAGAAACTTTAGAAAGAGCCAAATATAAGCACAATTGATCCTTATTACAGGCCTCTAAGTAGGCAAACATTTAGAAATGGAGCATGCTGGATTTATATTTTGTGTGTCCACATTTTTTAGCAACTTCTTTTTTTTGAGATGGTCTGGCTCTGTCACCCAGGCTGGAGTGAAGTGGCGCTATCTCAGCTCGCTGCAACCTCTGCCAACCGGGTTCAAGCGATCCTCCTACCTCAGCCTCCCGAGTAGCCCAGACCACAGGTGTGCGCCACCATGGCTGGCTAATTTTTGTATTTTTTGTAGAGATGGGGTTTCACCATGTTGACCACACTTGTCTCCAACTCCTGGGCTCAAGCAACCCATCTGCCTTGGCCTCCCAAAGTGCTGGAATTACATGTTTGAGCCACTGTGCCCCATCATTCTAGCAACATTTTAAAAGGAGGCATAATTTTATTCACATTAAAAGAATCAATCAATAAAACCAATGAAAGAATAAATTTGAGGAACTGTTTGTGGAAAAGTAGTTGTTTTACTAACAAAAAAAAAGTGGCAGGATACTTAGAAGTCATAGTTTCATGAAAATGCGATTTTTTAAAAAAAAAAGTAAACGTATGGTTTATTCTTTGAATTATCCACTAGATGGCAGAAAATTGTTACTGTCCAAAGCACTATTACTGTATTAGTCCAGGCTCCTTTCTAAGCTCCAGAAGTTATGCAAATTGCTTTCACCTCTACCCCTGCAATGCTAGCCTTTTCACAAGTGGCATTTTAAAACACATCAGTATTTTTAAGCTGGGAAAGAAAAATCAGAGGTTTCAGAGTTATAAATATTAGGTATGAGCATACTAATTATATGTTTGTGTTACTCTGCTCTAACACAGAAGGAACAGATGCACAGACATGTTGGGAGAAGGGCTGAGAGCCCACATAGAATGATCTATCCAGATGCCAGATATTAGAGTTAAGCTGAAAAGCCTCCAGTAGGACAGTTTCCTGTAACTTGTAAGTCATGGTTTTCATCCCTCTTAGCATATTAGATTTGCCTGGGGGCCCTACCCCAGGCCCAATTCTCTGGTGGTGGAACCTGGACATTGGCAGTTTTTTCAAGCTTTTTAACTATAAAATAAGAGAAATAGACTAAGCAATTATAGTATTTTCTTCCAGGTCTAACATTCTAGGATTGAAGTCTAATAGCATATTTATTACTATAAGCTTCATAAGCACAAGCACAAGAACTAATTCTGTTCTGGATCCTTTATGAACATAAATTCAGTTAATTTACACACAGTGAAAGACCTTAGGGAAAAACTAGACACAGAAAGGTTTCATAACTTGCCCAAGGCTATGCTGTAAGAGAGAAAGTCAAGACAGATTTGACCCAGTCAAGCCTGAATATATAACACTATGCCAAAATTCCCATAAACAGTGGATCAACTTATAAACAATATCCATCTCTCTATCTATAACTAAAATTATACCTGCACTTACCATAATGGTCTCTACCTTATTATTTAATCTTGCAGCTGCTGAGCTGGTTGAAAAATTGGCATAACATATCTGTGAACAGCGATGTAACAGACCAACTCTAAAACAATCAGTACATTTGGGTGTACTATTGTTTTTCTGGGCGAAATTGTACTTGAACTCAGAAACTCTGGTATTTTGCAAAAAAGAAGAGTATTAGAAAAGTACTTAATAGAATTTTCAAGAGAATTCTAATTGAGTAAATCTTATAAACATCTTTTAACATATATTTTGATTCCAGGGCTCATAGAGACTAATAAAACCAAGTTCTGTCCATAATCTCTCCTCTCTTTTTAGAGCCTCACCTTTTTTCTGGCATATGAACATATAGGTCTCTTGATCCAGCAGGAAGGGATTCTGCAGAAACACATAAAAGTTTAGTATAAATTCTTCTACACTCACCCTGTCAAGCTGAATTCCCTGAAGCTTTTCCCTGGAAAGTTAAAACATTTTGCCAACATTGCTTGCCCAATGAAGACCTAGGGGGTCAGAGGTGAGTAGTGAGTATAATGTACAGTTGCTTTGTAGTTCTGAATGATTTGCCTTTGAGAAAAGTAATAATGTTGATGAGAACTGACTGGCTTTAAGGGTGACCATTATATTATTTTTGAGCTTTTTATGATGGAAAATTTCAAACATATTCAAAAGTAGAGTGAGTGGTATAATACACACGCAAGTAGCCATCACCCAGATTCAAACATTATCTCCCACTCAATCTTTTTGCTATACTTCCACATATTCCCTCCTACTAACACAAGCATTACTTTGAAGCAAATCCAAGACATATTATTTAATCTATAAAATTTTGGTATGCATGTCTTAAAGTAAAAGCGTCTTTTAAAGAAGAGATAATCATTATATGATATTTAAAGTAATAATTACATTTGAAGAATGCATTTTATCCAGATCCCATTTATTATTGAATGCCCTGACACTGGGGAGTGTGAGTGGCATGGAGGAATTAAATTTTATTTCCAGAAAGTAATTTATCAGGCAAATTTTAATCAACAAGAGTATAAAGGGCCTCATGACTACATCAAAGTTTACTCCATTTTCCCCTAGCACTTTTTCCAAACTTTAGACTATGTTTTATTCTTGTCAAATAGTTGTAATCTCCTTATTAACAATTTAGTTTTAGAAAAAAGTTGTTTCTTCTGATTAAATGTCAGTAGCATATACTGTGTGAAATACCGAAATACAGTGATTTAACAAGCCACAGAAGTTTCCTCTATGTCCCAAAGGCTGTAGATTGAGTGGTAATTTTTAACCTGTGGAGAAACTTTCATCATAACTGGGGACAATGCAATGGAGGGAGACTGACCTTGGAGGAAGGGCACTCAAAAGGTGGTAACCACAACAGATACAACAGATATTTGGACTCGGACTTTCCCTCTTGAAGAAAATTGGATCGGCATTAAGTCTGTCTCCCTAGACAAAGTTTTTTAATCTGTAGCTAACTGGTCCGTGAAGTCCTGGAGGTAGGGGCCACAGCAAGTAGTATGTCTTCTGTGGTATATGTAGACTTTCTGAAATCAGTAAGAGGCTTTTTCTAAACCATTGTCTCAACTAGGGCTAGTAGCCACCCAGCAATTATCTGGGAAAGCCAGGCATAAATACTGGCCTCACCATGTGTAGGGGCACAGAAAGGAAAGGAGATAATTTAAAATTGAAGACTATCTTGGAGATTCCTAAAGAGCCATAATGGTTAATTTTGTTATTGGAATGGGGCTTGGCACTTGGTTATAGCTCTGGTCCCTGGAGTGCACTTTCAGTAGCAGAAATCCAAACGTGAGGAGAAGTCAGATACAGCAGACCACATCAAAGTGATATTTCCATCAGTCAAAAATTAACTGAAAATTATGCGCTGATCTAATTTAGCACAGTGAAAAGTTCTATCCTAAACAGTTGCACAGTTTGATAGTACACATCTGATGTTTTCTTTCAAAGGCCTATTTCAAATCCATCAATCTATCATTGAACTGATTCATGGTCAACTTTCTCTTTACTTCTTCTTTTTCTTTAATTTAGGAGTCTGGTTTTCTGATCTTTGTCTGACACCATCCTTCTCTTTCCAAGTATGCTGTCAAAACAGGCTTAGCCATCCTAATTGTCTTGAGTAATGATTTCCACATATACTTCACACCAACATCTTCTCCTCTTTTGTCCAATAGCCACTCCTCTTCCTTGTTCTATGTCTGGATAACAGCCTATCACATTTGCAGAGCCAGTGATAGAAGTATTGCTTTTTTTGCCTTTTTTTTTTTTTTTCTGAGGTAGAGTCTCGCTCTGTCACTAAGGCTGGAGTGCAGTGGCGCAATCTCGGCTTACTGCAACCTCTGCCTCCCAGGTTCAAGCAATTATCTGCTTCAGCCTCCCAAGTAGCTGGATTACAGGTGCCCACCACCACGCCTGGCTAATTTTTGTATTTTTTTAGTAGAGATGGGGTTTCACCATGTTGGCCAGGCTGGTCTTGAACTCCAGACCTCGTGATCCACCGCCTCGGCCTACCAAAGTGTTGGGATTACAGGCATGAGCCACTGCACCTGGCTACTTATTTTTTTTTAACCAAGATAGCTCTACTACCATTTTCCCTATGAATAGGTACAACCATATTCTTTTCCCCAGTACAAAACATCAAATCCTTTGTTCATTCTTTTCTCCCACATTCATTTTTTTGACAAAATGATTTCCATTTTGTGAGATGGGTCCTTTAACATACTTTTCATCTCAGTGATCTATCACAGAAATTCCCATACAGATATTGCCTCATTCTTATGTATTCTTTTCTTATTTATTTTAATTGACATATAAAATTGTATATATTTATAGCATAGAGCATGATGTTTATAAATACATATACATTCTGGCATAGCTAAATAAAGCTAATTAACATATGCATTATCTCACATATTATTTATTTGTGGTGAGAACACTTAAAATATACAATTTTCAAGTATTAATACATTCTTTTAACTGTAGTCACTAAGTTATACAATAGATTTCTTGAAATTATTCGTCCTTCTAACTGATATTTTGTAGCCTTTGACCAGCATCTCCTCAATCCCTCATTCTTCCTGCAAAGCATGTATTTTCTTCAAGATGACCTGAGCACCTATGAGCTCTCAGCATTTCATACACTGACCGCTATAGTCTGGCCAATTTATGACCCATTTCTTAGCTCTTTCCCCATTAACGCCCCCGGAGATATGTTCTATGTGGTTCACAGCATCCACATCTGCTCTCCTAAAGTTCATACTACAACTCCTTACTCAAATAAGGACAGCAGCAAAGAGCATTGACTTTGGTGTCAGACAGACCTGGATTTGAATCTTGATTCTATCCCTTAGTAGCTATGTGACCTTGGGGAAGCTTTTCACCTCACTCAGCTTTATTTTCCTTATCTATATCATAGGTATGATAGTAATACAACTTTCCTCCTAGCATTGTTACAAAGATTAACTAATGTATAAAGCACTTACATAGTGCCTGGCGTGTAAATGTTTAAATGTGGGGGCTTTCTGGGATATAGTGTGAACTGAAAAATAAATAGAAGCCCAAAGACAAATATGTCCTTTTTCCTTCTTCTTTACTGCTCATCCACCTCCCACGCAGACACACCCACACACACAGTAATAGAGATAAACGTTGAGTCAACAAAGCAGACAGAGAAAATGGACACTGATTCAAGAGTTAAGAACTATAGTTACCCAGCAGCTGGAGCTGACAGAAGAAGTCATTTCCAAAATGATAAAGTTAATGTCAAATGAATAAAATGAGAGTGAAAAAAACACAATTAAATTTGTTAAGATGTCACATGTATGTTTCTTTCTTATATTTCTTACTGTCTTCTATATCACCACCAAACTTCCAGTTTTATTTACTTTATTAACGTTTTTATTTTTGTGGGTGCATAGTAGGCATATATATTTACAGGGTACATGAGATGTTTTGATACTGGCATGCAATGAATACTAAAAACATCGTGGTAAATGGGGTTTCCATTTAATCCATTCTCCATGCTCTATATTTTTATTCAAATAGATTTGCCTTCCAGAAAACCACCTAATCACTATCATATGAAAATCTTCATATTTATAGACTAGTTATCAAGCATTAAACAAATTACTAAATAATTCCATAGGGCACTGTGCAGGTATGGTCAAAATAACACACACACTTGATCCATGGGAGTTTACAATGTAAAATGGAAAAACACACAAATTGGAAAGTTAAAAGAGTGTACAGTGATCTCCTTTCTATTCTTGTCCCCATTTTTCTCCATCCCTTCTTCCATAGGTGACCACATTTTTAAGTTTTAAATTTCTTATATATCTTTCCAGCATTCCATTATTCATTTAGAATAAAACAATTACAGATTTTTTCTCACAATTTCACACATAAAGTAGCATAAGTTTTGCTATTCTGAACATCAACTTTTAAAAATTAAATCTATTTTGAGATAATTGTAGAGTCACATGTAGTTGTAAGAATAATACAGAGAGATCCCATGTATCTTTTACCAGTTTCTCCCAAAGGCAATAGCTTACAGAACTATAGTACAATATCACAACCAGAATAATAACATTGATAACACTCTGGCTTCACTGCAAGAATCCCTCAAGCTGTTCATTTTATAGCCACACCCCCTTTCTAGCCACTCCCATTCCCTCCTAACCCCTGGTAACCAAAATTGTATTCCTATTTCTAAATTTCTGTCATTTCAAGAACATTATATAAATGAAATTCTGTACTATATAATCTTTTGAAACAGACTTTCATCACTCAACATGATTCTGTGGTTATTTCACATCGTTGCATATGCCAATACCTCCTTACTTTTTATTGCTGAGTAGTATTCTATGATAGTAATGTACCACAGTTAAGTTTTCACCCAGTAGGTTGTTTCTAATTTTTGCCTATTATGAATGAAGCCACCACAAACCTTCAGGTACAAGTTTCTGGGTGAACATAAGTTTTCATTTCCCTGGGATAAATGCCCAGGCATATATAATTGTTTGGTCATAAGATAGCGATGTTCACTTTTATGATAAAATATCAAACTGTTTTCCACAGCAGCTTTACCATTTAACATTCCCATAAGCAATGCTTGAGTAATTCAGTTTCTCCATATTTTTACCAGCATTTCATGTTTTAATTAGTTTCAATTTTATATTTTATGTTGATAGTTGTACAGCGATATCTTATTGTGGTTTTTATTTGCATTTTCCTAATGGCTAATGATGTTGAACAAATTTTCAAGTGTTTATTTACCACCTGTATATCCTCTTTGGTAAAATTTCTCCATGTCTTTTTCCTATTTTCTACTTGGATTGCTTGTTTTTGTTATTGTTTGTTTGTTACTGTTGACTTTTAAGAGTTCTTCATATATTTTAGATACTAGTCCTTGTTGGATATGTGGCTTACAAACATTTTCTTTCAGTTTGTAGCTTATCTTTTCATCCACTAACATGGTCTTTCAAAAAGAAAATTTTAAAATTTTGACTGAGTCCAATTTATCCCCGAATGTGGATCAAAGTTTAAGATTCCTTCTTAGTGTATGTTCTCTGACACCACCCTGACACCAGGGCTCTGGGAGGGACAAGTGGAGGGATGGTTTTACACTCAGCCTTTGCTCATATGGTTGGGAGTAAGGACATAATTTTTTTCTGTGGTATTTTGCTGGAGTAGTTATTGTCTAAAAGTTTTCTGTCATGCTAGCCTGCCCATTTTCTGGTCCTTTCACTAGAGAGAGTAGGCTTTTGTTGAGGGTTTTTTGTTTGTTTTTTGTTTTTTGTTTTTTTTTGTCTGCTCTCATCGGTGTTTCCAGGATGCCAGCTTTTTTAGCAACAAGTCTTGGGTATATAAGGCAGAAAGAAAACCCACGGCACTCACCACCTTGTTTTTCTTGGGTCCTGAGATTTGTAGCTGGTCTGCTACCTTCTCTCTACCTTTCAGAGTCTTCTTACATTTTCTTTGTTTTGTTTTTAATGCATGTATAATGTCTAAGATTTTGATTTGTAATTAGAGAGAGGAATAGGGAAAATTACTTCTACTCTACCTTCCTGGAAACTGTGCCTTATTTTTTCATTTAATTAAGAGAGTTATCTATGTCACTATATAGAGACTTTCCCATTTTTACAGCTACACAGTATTCCATTACATGGATGTACCATAATTCATTTAGCCAGTCCCCTATTTTTGGGCACTTAAGGAATCATATGCAATTATTAACAATTCTACAGGTAATAAGATCATACAAATGTCATTTTGCCTGCATGTAGTATATCTGTTGGACAAATTCCCCAAAAGCAGGATTACTGGATCAAAAGAAATATATGCATTTGTTTTTGTTAATTGTTGCCAAACTGCCCTCCATAGGAATGGTACCAATTTATACTTCAACAAGGCAAATATGAGAGTATCTATTTTCCCACACAATGTGTTTGTTATCAATCATTTTCTCCAAATTTATATATGAAAAATGTATCTCGAGTTATTTTAATTTGCTTTGAGAGGAATCTAGCACATATATATATATTTATACACATGTGTATATATATGCATATGTGTATATATGTATACATATAGATACACATATACACATATGTGTATATATGTGTATATATGTTATTTTTTTTTTCCAGAGCCATCTGTGTTTCCTTTTCTCTGACTTGATTGCACATATCCTTTGAACAATATTCTATCAGTTAGTTGGGCTTTATATTCATTTCTAGGATGGCTTTTTAAATTAAAGGTAAGGTATTATTTAAATATATTAAAATACATGCATTTTAAATAGTAGTTTGATGTGTTTTGACAAATATGTTCACTCATATAGCCACCAATACGGCCAACACATAGGACACTTCCATCACCAAAAATGTTCCCTTGTGCCCACTGGTAATAATTGCCCCTTCCCAAAACATTCTCAGATATAACCTACTTAACAAAAAGCTGACTTAATTAAGAAGGACTAGGCAAGGCATTGTTTTATTGGCAGCTTAATTGCCCCTCTCCTTTGAGTCTAATTTTTAAGTAAAGCAGAAGGGTGAATATATGACTACTTTATCATCTTAAATTATGAGCCATTTGAGGACAGGAAATGTGGCTTTAATGTATTTTATACTGCATTTAGCATTTGCAAGTATTTAACGGACTTTATTGTCAATCAGCATTTGCTTCTAACTTGAAACTAGTGATCCATTGTTCATTAAAAATGAAGAAATAATTGACTTGTGGTTTATAATATAAAACAGCCTCTTCTTACCTGATGTTTTATTCCTGACTAAACAATTGTGAGTAAATACTTAAATTCTTCTGAAGAAAAAAGGATGACAGCAATAGTATACAGACCTTTTCAACAAAATTACGGTGAGCAATGCATCCTCATATTGAAGTGCTCTACTGCAGAGCTGATGTGTAATCACTGAGCCCCAGCCAGCTTCACAGGGCTGAAGAGGAAAGCCATTTTGCCCCTATAGACCAGAGGATCAGCTTTCAATTACTGCAATTTGACTTATTTTTTACATTGTTTTTATCAGTGTGGGAAGAATGAAAGTCATAGAATCTGAAGATAGATGGAAGTCATCTCAATTAATTTTCAATTTATTACTCTAGGTAGCATGGAGATCTTTAACCCTTTGTATCAGCCATTCCAGCAAATAAACGTGAATCTACTATAAAATGTCAAGTTCTCAACGCCAACATTTTAGATAGGTTGAATGGGGCTGTTGCTAAGCAAGTAGCATTCCTCTAAAATTAAAATCAAACAGAAAATCTTTTTCATTGGAAGTATCTAAATATGATTAAGAGTAGGTGCTACTTAAGATCATATTTATGGTGAAGTTCTACATAAATGTGGCTTTCACCATTCAAAATAACAACTTGCATATTCAAGTAAATCTCCTTGTAATGAGGAATGAAGTCTCTTTTTCTAAAAACTTCACAAATATGTTTACTCTTGCAGCCACCAACAAAATAAGTACTTAGAATATTTTAGAGAAAACACTTCCCCAAGCAGCAGAATGCTTTACTTGTGCTAGCCACAAAATTAACGTAAGCCCTAAATAACCTAATAAATGGATAGCTTAATCCCATTTCAATGCCTCTCACCCTCACCCAGTAGACTCTTTCAAATTCAAATAACTCCACCTGTTTTCCTAAATGCAAAAAGAGGCCTAGTCAAAAAGTTGCTACATTCATATTTTCTGTACTTATAAACTAAATTGGAAGTCCTTCCAAACTCTAATTTTGCTCCAGGTCAGGTAATTTTTCTCTAGAAAGTTTCACAATTATTAAATTTCTTATTTAGTCTCTGAACAATTCTACATATAGTTTTTGGGTACAATATCAGTGAAACCTTTCCAAGCCATTCTTGTTCAATGACAATATGAGAAGCAATGGTAAGCAATAGGTTCACACTTAAGTTTATAGCCACAGTTCCACTTTGGGGCATAAGTTCATTGATGTGCAAATATGATACAATTTTGAAAATACTATAGTGTGGGGGGTTTGAAGAGAGATATCCCAAACAAAACAGACTTATGAAGAACTCAAATGAATAATACCTATTGAATTAAACTACACAGAAAATGATTAATCAATAATTAATAATTAGGAGTAACTTTTATATATATATATTATATTTTAATCCATTCCTGACATATATTTTAATCCATTCCTGACCCCTCAGGCTTGTTCTCCCTTTGGGTCAAAGGAGTGTCTAAACAGAGAAAACAGAAAAATTGTACAGAAAATGAAACAAATGTGAATATGCCAAAACCTAAAATCTAAGAGGCAGAGTCATCCTATAGATGTAGTGAACTTTATAAAATACTAACAAAGAAAAAATAATATTTGTATATTGTTTTTTAGAAGTTGTATCTGATTACAACAAAGCTGTCTTCAAAATTATTAATTTTTCGTTATTCATTTTGTCTGTATCAAATAGAATGAAATTCCATGTCAGGAGAATATATTATTTGTTGAAATGAGCCAGAAGTTATCAAATGCAGGTCATGTGAATAAAGTATGTGACAAAGCTGGTTAATGCCATTTTTTAAAACTCAAACACAAAGGGGGCAATTTGGCATCAAAATAAGTAATGATGGTAAAATATTACAACCTATTGAATAAAAAAATTCATGAGTCTTAACTGATATAGACACATAATACATACAAACATGCATAATCAGGGAGAAAAGAAAGTTCTTCTTTGCAATGGAATGTTAATTAATAGCTACAGAAAGAACGAGAGAAAATTGTCATTTTGCAACATCATAGTAATAATTGATCCAGGCAAGAGTCAACAGTGAATGTCCCACAGATTGTTTATTAATTACAAAGGCAAAAATGGTAACTTTCCAGAAGAAAAATTTGGTAGACAGCACCTTCAATGAGTGATGAAGGTTGAGATCATCAGTAATGGAGCAAACTCAATCTCAAACCACCTGCTATAAACCACCAAGAAGGACACAGCAACATTTGTTTGGCATTCTTGGTAAAAAGGCATAATCTAATTTCTAATTATGAGTTAACATCAAACAAACGCAAACTGAGGAGCACTCTATCAAATAACTAGCCTGTACTTTTTAAAAATGTCAAGATATGACTCACAAAGAAAGACTGGGGAACAGTCCCAAATTTTTAAGATATAACTAAATTCAATACATGATCCTGGAATGGATCCTGGCCTGGGGAAAAAATAATTATACAGAATATCATTGGGACAATTGATAAAATCTGAATATGGACCATGGATAATAGTAATGTTTCAATGTTAACTTTTCTGATTTTATCATTGCATTGTGGTTATGCAAGAGAATATCCTTGTTCCTGGGAAAAACACGTTGATGACTTCAGTACAAATGAGCATGATATCTAAAATTTACTCTCAAGTGTTTCAGAGAAAAATACAAACATATATTTAAAAAGCATAAGTTGGGTGGAGCCAAGATGGCCAAATAGGGACAGCTCCAGTCTACAGCTCCCAGCATGAGCGACGCAGAAGACAGGTGATTTCTGTATTTCCAACCGAGGTACCAGGTTCATCTCACTGGGGAGTGTTGGACAGTGGGTGCAGGACAGTGGGTGCAGTGCACCAAGTGTGAGCTGAAGCAGGGAGAGGCATCGCCTCACCTGGGAAGTGCAAGGGGTCAGGGAATTCCCTTTCCTAGTCAAAGAAAGGGGTGACAGATGGCACCTGGAAAATCGGGTCACTCCCACCCTAATACTGTGCTATTCCAAACGGTCTTAGCAAACAGCACACCAGAAGATTATGTCCTGCACCTGGTTCGGAGGGTCCTATGCTCACGGAGCCTTGCTCATTGCTAGCACAGCAGTCTGAGATGAAACTGCAAGGCAGCAGCCAGGCCGGGGGAGGGGCGGCCGCCATTGCCAAGACTTGAGTAGGTAAACAAAGCTGCCGGGAAGCTCGAACTGGGTGGAGCCCACCACAGCTCAAGGAGGCCTGCCTGCCTCTGTAGACGCCACCTCTGGAGGCAGGGCATAGCCAAACAAAAGGCAGCAGAAACCTCTGCAGACTTAAAAGTCCCTGTCTGACAGCTTTGAAGAGAGCAGTGGTTCTCCCAGCACGCAGCTGGAGATCTGAGAACGGACAGACTGCCTCCTCAAGTGGGTCCCTGACCCCCGAGTAGCCTAACTGGGAGGCACCCCCCAGTAGGGGCAGACTGACACCTCACACGGCCATGTACTCCTCTGAGAAAAAACTTCCAGGGGAAGGATCAGGCAGCAACATTTGCTGTTCACCAATATCCACTGTTCTCCAGCCTCCACTGCTGATACCCAGGCAAACAGGGTCTGGAGTAGACCTCCAGCAAACTCCAACAGATCTGCAGCTGAGGGTTCTGACTGTTAGAAGGAAAACTAACAAACAGACAGGACATCCACACCAAAACCCCATCTGTACGTCACCATCGTCAAAGACCAAAGGTAGATAAAGCCACAAACATGGGGAAAAAACAGAGCAGAAAAACCGGAAACTCTAAAAATCAGAGTGCCTCTCCTCCTCCAAAGGAACGCAGCTCCTCACCAGCAACGGAACAAAGCTGGATGGAGAATGCTTTGACGAGTTGAGAGAAGAAGGCTTCAGACGATCAAACTACTCCGAGCTAAAGGAGGAAGTTCAAACCCATGGCAAAGAAGTTAAAAACCTTGAAAAAAAAATTAGACAAATGGCTAACTAGAATAACCAATGCAGAGAAGTCCTTAAAGGACCTGATGGAGCTGAAAACCAAGGCATGAGAACTATGTGAAGAATGCACAAGCCTCAGTAGCCAATTCGATCAACTGGAAGAAAGAGTATCAGTGATGGAAGATGAAATGAATGAAATGAAGCGAGAAGAGAATTTTAGAGAAAAAAGAATAAAAAGAAGGGAACAAAGCCTCCAAGAAATATGGGACTATGTGAAAAGACCAAATCTACGTCTCATTGGTGTACCTGAAAGTGACGGGGAGAATGGAACCAAGTTGGAAAACACTCTGCAGGATATTATCCGGGAGAACTTCCCCAATCTAGCAAGGCAGGCCAACATTCAAATTCAGGAAATACAGAGAATGCCACAAAGATACTCCTCGAGAAGAGCAACTCCAAGACACATAATTGTCAAATTCACCAAAGTTGAAATGAAGGAAAAAATGTTAAGGGCAACCAGAGAGAAAGACCAGGTTACCCACAAATGGAAGCCCATCAGACTAACAGCTGATCTCTTGGCAGAAACTCTACAAGCCAGAAGAGAGTGGGGGCCAATATTCAACATTCTTAAAGGAAAGAATTTTCAACCCAGAATTTCATATCCAGCCAAACTAAGCTTCATAAGTGAAGGAGAAATAAAATCCTTTACAGACAAGCAAATGCTGAGAGATTTTGTCACCATCAAAGCTAGGAAGAAACTGCATCAACTAACGAGCAAAATAACCAGCTAAGATCATAATGACAGGATCAAATTCACACATAACAATATTAACCTTAAATGTAAATGGGCTAAATGCTCCAATTAAAAGACACAGACTGGCAAATTGGATAAAGAGTCAAGACCCATCAGGGTTCTGTATTCAGGAAACCCATCTCATGTGCAGAGACACACATAAGCTCAAAATAAAGGGATGGAGGAAGATCTACCAAGCAAATGGAAAACAAAACAGGCAGGGGTCGCAATCCTAGTCTCTGATAAAGCAGACTTTAAATCAACAAAGATCAAAAGAGACAAAGAAGGCCATTACATAACGGTAAAGGGATCAATTCAACAAGAAGAGCTAACTATCCTAAATATATATGCACCCAATACAGAAGCACCCAGATTCATAAAGCAAGTCCTTAGAGACCTACAAAGAGACTTAGACTCCCACACAATAATAATGGGAGACTTTAACACCCCACTGTCAACATTACACAGATCAACGAGACAGAAAGTTAACAAGGACATCCAGGAACTGAACTCAGCTCTGCACCAAGCAGACCTAATAGACATCTACAGAACTCTCCACCCCAAATCAACAGAATATACATTCTTCTCAGAACCACACCACACCTATTCCAAAATTGACCACATAGTTGGAAGTAAAGCACTCCTCCACAAATGCAAAAGAACAGAAATTATAACAAACTGTCTCTCAGACCACAGTGCAATCAAACTAGAACTCAGGATTAAGAAACTCACTCAAAACTGCTCAACTACATGGAAACTGAACAACCTGCTCCTGAATGACTGCTGGGTACCATAACGAAATGAAGGCAGAAATAAATATGTTCTTTGAAACCAACAAAAACAAAGACACAACATACCAGAATCCCTGGGACACATTCAAAGCAGTGTGCAGAAGGAAATTTATAGCACTAAATGCCCACAAGAGAAAACAGGAAAGATCTAAAATTGACACCCTAACATCACAATTAAAAGAACTAGAGAAGCAAGAGCAAACACATTCAAAAGCTAGCAGAAGGCAAGAAATAACTAAGATCAGAGCAGAACTGAAGGAAATAGAGACACAAAAAACCCTTCAAAAAATCAATGAATCCAGGAGCTGGTTTCTTGAAAAGATCAACAAAATTGATAGACTGCTAGCAAGACTAATAAAGAAGAAAAGAGAGAAGAATAAATAGACACAATAAAAAATGATAAAGGGGATATCACCACCGATCCCACAGAAATACAAACTACCATCAGAGAATACTATAAACACCTCTACACAAATAAACTAGAAAATCTAGAAGAAATGGATAAATTCCTCGACACATACACCCTCCCAAGACTAAACCAGGAAGAAGTTGAATCTCTGAATAGACCAATAACAGACTCTGAAATTGAGGCAATAATTAATAGCTTACCAACCAGAAAAAGTCCAGGACCAGATGGATTCACAGCCGAATTCTACCAGAGGTACAAGGAGGAGCTAGTACCATTCCTTCTGAAACTATTCCAATCAATAGGAAAAGAGGGAATCCTCCCTAACTCATTTTATGAAGCCAGCATCATCCTGATACCAAAGCCTGGCAGAGACACAACAAAAAAAGAGAATTTTAGACCAATATCCCTGATGAACATCGGTGCAAAAATCCTCAGTAAAATACTGGCAAAGTGATTCCAGCAGCACATCAAAGAGCTTATCCACCATGATCAAGTGGGCTTCATCCCTGGGATGCAAGGCTGTCTCAACATACGCAAATCAATAAACATAATCCAGCACATAAACAGAACCAAGGACAAAAACCACATGATTATCTCAATAGATGCAGAAAAGGCCTTTGACAAAATTCAACAACCCTTCATGCTAAAAACTCTCAATAAATTAGGTATTGATGGGACGTATCTTCAAAATAATAAGAGCTATCTATGACAAACCCACAGCCAATATCATACTAAATGGGCAAAAACTGGAAGCATTCCCTTTGAAAACTGGCACAAGACAGGGATGCCCTCTCTCACCACTCCTATTCAACATAGTGTTGGAAGTTCTGCCCAGGGCAATCAAGCAGGAGAAGGAAATAAAAGTATTCAATTAGGAAAAGAGGAAGTCAAATTGTCCCTGTTTGCAGATGACATGATGGTATATCTAGAAAATCCCATCGTCTCAGCCCAAAATCTCCTTAAGCTGATAGGCAACTTCAGCAAAGTCTCAGGATACAGAATCAATGTGCAAAAATCACAAGCATTCCTATACACCAATAACAGACAAACAGAGCCAAATCATGAGTGAACTCCCATTCACAATTGCTTCAAAGAGAATAAAATACCTAGGAATTCCACTTACAAGGGATGTGAAGGCCCTCTTCAAGGAGAACTACAAACCACTGCTCAGAGAAATAAAAGAGGATACAAACAAATGGAAGAACATTCCATGCTCATGGGTAGGAAGAATCAATATCATGAAAATGGCCATACTGCCCAAGGTAATTTATAGATTCAATGCCATCCCCATCAAGCTACTTCCTTACACCTTATACAAAAATTAATTCAAGATGAGTTAAAGACTTAAATGTTAGACCTAAAACCATAAAAACCCTAGAAGAAAACCTAGGCAATACCATTCAGGACACAGGCATGGGCAAGTACTTCATGTCTAAAACACCAAAAGCAATGGCAACAAAAGCCAAAATTGACAAATGGGATCTAATTAAACTAAAGAGCTTCTGCACAGCAAAAGAAACTACCATCAGAGTGAACAGGCAACCTACAAAATGGGAGAAAATTTTGGCAATCTACTCATCTGACAAAATCTACTCATCTGACAAAGGGCTAATATCCAGAATCTACAGTGAACTCAAGCAAATTTACAAGAAAAAAACAAACAACCCCATCAACAAGTGGGCGAAGGATATGAACAGACACTTCTCAAAAGAAGACATTTATGCAGCCAAAAGACACATGAAAAAATGCTCATCATCACTGGCCATCAGAGAAATGCAAATCAAAACCACAATGAGATACCATCTCACACCAGTTAGAATGGCAATCATTAAAAAGTCAGGAAACAACAGGTGCTGGAGAGGATGTGGAGAAATAGGAACACTTTCACACTGTTGGTGGGACTGTAAACTAGTTCAACCATTGTGGAAGTCAGTGTGGTGATTCCTCAGGGATCTAGAATTAGAAATACCATTTGACCCAGCCATCTCATTGGGTATATACACTGGGTATATGCCCAAAGGATTATAAAACATGCTGCTATAAAGACACATGCACACGTATGTTTATTGCGGCACTATTCACAATAGTAAAGCCTTGGAACCAACCCAAATGTCCAACAATGATAGACTGGATTAAGAAAATGTGGCACATATACACCATGGAATCCTATGCAGCCATAAAAAATGATGAGTTCATGTCCTTTGTAGGGACATGGATGAAGCTGGAAACCATCATTCTCAGCAAACTATCGCAAGGACAAAAAACCAAACACCGCATGTTCTCACTCACAGGTGGGAACTGAACAATGAGAACACATGGACACAGGAAGGGGAACATTCACACACTGGGGCCTGTTGTGGGGTGGGGGTAGTGGGGAGGGATGGCATTAGGAGATATACCTAATGTTAAATGATGAGTTAATTGGTGGAGCACAACATGGCACATGTATACATATGTAACAAACCTGCACATTGTGCACATGTACCCTAAAACTTAAAGTGTATTAAAAAAATAAAATAAATAAAAATAAATAAAATAAAATAAAAAGGGAAATAAAATAAAAAAAT
Source organism: Homo sapiens (assembly GCF_000001405.40). Taxonomy (NCBI): domain Eukaryota; kingdom Metazoa; phylum Chordata; class Mammalia; order Primates; family Hominidae; genus Homo; species Homo sapiens. The sequence continues at coordinate 96,643,527 of NC_000006.12, forward strand.
AAAAAGCATAAGTTAAAATAAGAGAGTAAATGGGGTCAAGATTTAAGCAATTTGTGTATCTGGGTAAAAGTACATATAACAGAAATTCTGTGTGCTCTTCTCATCTTTTTGTAAGTTTGAAATAATGCAGAAATAACTCGTAAGAAATAAAAGAGAATATAGTCATTAAACTTTCTTAGGAGACCATAGGAAGTGTATAAAAATATTCTTTAAAAGGTTTGGAATCATAGAAACATAGTAGGAATCATACAAATCTATGCTAAATAATCCTTAGCAAGAAGAGCTCATGAGATTGCATGCCTCTAGGCTGTGAATATCCTAGGCACATGCTGGCTCCACCCTCTTGCCAGAGAGTGGTCCCATCTCTAGTGGTACCATGTGCCATAATACTCTCTTTAGTTCGTATCTTAGTCACATGGTTTGGAACACTCAGTTCCCTATTTGTACAGCTAGTTAAATGTAAGTGTGTTTATTTGGGAAATAATCATTTGTCCTCTTTGATAATATAAAACAATTATTTACCTCATGTTTACAGATAGGGCCCTTTGCAAATAAAGCTATAAACAACTAGCAAAAAAAAAAATAGCCTACAACTCTTGAGGCAAACATCAATTTCATAAAATGAAAGACATTGCAAAAATACTAATAGAGTTTAGTCAAACAGTATATACATATACATATATATGTATATATGCATATATGTGGCTGCAAATACAGTCAGAATAGCAGTACTTTACTGAGTATTTTAGTCAAGATGAAAATTTATTAGACATAATTCCCTTTTAATAAGTGACTAGTGCCTCTAAATATTTTCTTCATATCTTACTTGTTTTATCCCCAAAATATCACTCAATTCTCAAACTGGAGGAAGACTGCTCTCTCCAGTAGTAGCTTTAAATCTCACATACCAAATGTCAAAACATAAGAAGTCATTTAACTGAGTCTAAAATTATTTCCCTGCTAAACGGGGTAATACTAGTATTTATGGCATAGGATCATAAATATTTAAAATGTTAAATGCTTTTTAAAGGGCATACCATAGTGCTTGGAGCATAATCAGAACTCATACAAGAAACACAGATCACAGTATTTTTGCCTAGAAAGACATGTGCTTGGTGATGATGATGATCATTTTTTAATTGATATGTAATAGTTACATGTATTTATGAGGTACATGAGGGTTTTCTTTAGATATGTGCACACAATACATAAAGATCAAATCAGGGTAATTAGGATATCCACCACCTCAAACAATTATTTTGTGTGTGTGTTGGGAACATTGCAGATTGTCTCTTCTACCTATTTTCAAATATACAATAAATTCTTGTTAACTATAGTTTCCCTACAGTGCTATTGAACACTGTACTTATTTCTTGTATCTTACTGTATTTTTGTACCCCTTAACCAAGTGTTCTTCATCCGTGCTACCCTTCCCAGCCTCTGTAACCACCATTGTACTCTCTACCTTTATGTGATTCATTTCTTTTAGCTCCCACATATGAGTGAGAACATGCAAATAAACTGAGCCTGGCTTATTTTACTTAACATAATGACCTCCAGTTTGATCCATGTTGCGGCAAATTTCTTATTGAGCTTTTCTTCAGTTCTCTCAAAGTGATACATGTAAACAACCACTCCCTTACATGTCGAGCAGTATATGCATTGAAAATCATTTAAGAAGAATTATTCAGTTCTTATGCTCAGCTACAATGGCCATTCAATTCCTGGGAGCAGTCTGATGCTGATGTACAAAAGTGCATCCGTTCTCCTATGCCCGCACTGTTTCTATTTATAGTGGCTACTAAACAAGGCTGCAGGAACAGAGACCACAGCACAGCGGCCACCTTCCAGTGGCTATCTGCCTTTACTTCTTGCTATAAGAAATGCCTTTTGTCACATCCTGAGATCAAAAAACACATTTTATTCCATTATTCGTGATTGTTTTCTACTGAAAGATCACAAAATTTCTGATTATATAAAGACTTATTTTGACCTCCGGGACTTTTTAAACACACACATACACACGCATCTAGTTTTGTAGACAGATGAAATTACTCATTACCTTTTTGAAGGAGTTAAAATAGAAAGCAGTTTTCCGACTGTGAAGCACAGCACTTTCCTATTTTTTCTAAAAGTGGCATGTTAATAGGAAAAGCTATCAAAAAGAGCTATTTCTGTTTGGGCATAGAAAATAATCTCTAGACGTGATGTTGTTTCAGATTGATTTCTCTCTCAGTGTTTCTTTGCACATGTTGTTATTACTTTTTAGGAAAGCATACTGAAAAAGAATATATAACAGGACAAAACACTCTCCCATGAGGCTTTGAAACAGATCTTACATAATTAAGTGCCAAGAATAATAATTCGTCTTTTTGTTGTCACACATTCTACTTATCTGAGAAGGCAAAATGGAAAATCAGAAAAGAACAGATCTCAGGGTCCCTGCTTTCTCATGTGTGCTATTTATTTTATGTTTTTTTCCTTCCTCTCTGAAGTCTTATTTATTTACATGTGCAAACACTGTCAAATCTCTTCCAGTTTTCTCATTCCCAGACAAGCTTCTAGAAAGAAGAGTCTGCTCCCAGTGGCTCAGTTTGCTTTCATCATGCTTGGCAGCACCTCTGCTTTCTGCCCTCTGACTCCTGAGCTCCTCGGACCACCAACATGGTGATCACCCACTTAGTTGCTAAAGCCAAGGGACCTGTCTACATCCAGTTCCAGTTTGGGCATGCCGAAACACTCCTGCAAATTGTTACTTCCCAATGTTCCCCACTTGCCCTTCTCCCAAATCTCTGGTTTGTTATTCTTAATTTCTTTGGAGGCCTCCCTTTTCCTTAAATATTGGTGTTTCTATTTTTTTCCCTCTCTCTCCTCACTCTACATACTCCTCTTAGATGTAGAACGAATTCATTCCCATAGCTTCAAGTTCCACGTGGGTCCCAGTGAATCCTATTTGTAGCACAACTTCTGTCCTGTCAATCTTCTTTATCAGACAAATCCTCTTAGATCTAGCCAGTAGCTCAAACGCCACATTCCAGAATGGAGTTTAGTATCTTCCTACTGCCCAGGCTGTGCATTCTCCTGAGCTTCCTCCAATGGATGAAGCGACCTGTAGTAATAATAGTAGCTCACATTTATTCAGTATTTATTCTGCACCAGGGAGTTTGTTACTTTTCCTTTTTTTTTCTGACTTTTGTTTTAGGTTTGGGGGGTACATGTGCAGGTTTGTTACATGGTAAATTGCGTGCCACTGGGGTTTGGTGTATGAATAATCCCATTACCGAGGTAGTGAATATAGTACACAGCAGTTAGTTTTTCAACACTTGCCTCCCCACTGCCCTCTCTCCTCTAGTAGTCCCCGGTGTCTCTTGTTCTCATCTTTGTGTCCATGTGTACTCAAGAATCATCTATGACAAGCCCACAGCCAACATCATACTGAATGGGAAAAGCTGGAAGCATTCCCCTGAGAAGCAGAAAAAGACAAGAACGTGCACTCTCACCACTTCTGTATGATTTTCATATGTGCTCTTGCATGTAATGTTCACTACAAGTCTATAAAGGAGGTACAATTGTTATCCCCATTCTATAAATGAGAACAGGAAGCACAGCATGATTACAGAACCTTGCCAAAGCCACACAGGATAACGGACAGTCCAAGGGACTTCAGATTCAGATTCTTTACCACTTTGCCAGACTGCCTCTCTTCCATCTCCTGCTCTCTTTCTCTGATTGATAACATATTTCTTAACCTGATCTTCTCTGCAACAGCCTTAGTTTAGTTTTCATTATTTGTTGCCTTGATTGCTTTATAAAGGCTTCTTTTAAAATTATTTACTATAGCTACTATACAATGGAGCTATACTATAAAGTATATTCTCCATTTTACTTTGGGAATCATCTTCAAAACACCAATCTGATCACGTTAAACCACAGACCCTCTCTATGACATAGCAGGTCTTTCAAGATTAGATTCCTGTCTACTTACCCAGTCTCCTCTTTCTTTTGTATTCAAAGATGTTTTAATCATACCAATACATGCACCTGGTTTAAAATATATATATTAGATTGAAGCATAGTAAATCACTGATATTTAACCAATTTCAGTCTACTAAATAGCAATTTCATATTCGGCTTATTATTACTGAAGTTTATAATGGAAAACAGTAGCTCCTTCCTTTGTTCCTCCTTAGTGCCAAATATACTCTCCAGAGACAACCATTTTTTATCATTTCAGTTGGTTCCTGATGTTCCCTTCATATTTCTCATACTATGCTAAAAGAGTTTAGGTTTGGCTCTGACAAGCTCAAAGCCATGCCTCAAATAAGAGAAACAGGGTTTTTGTTTTTGAGTTTTTCTCTTACATAAAAGACTTGCAGTATAAAGAGCCAGACTTCTCCCAGTTCACATTCCACTGCCACTAGAATGTAGCCTCTGTCCTCACAGTCTGAGGTAGAATCTATGTTTTAGAAATCAAGATGGGGAAAATAAACAAAGACAAAAAGGCAAAGGGCACATGGACATGCTGTTCCTTGAAGGATTTCAGGTGCTGTCACTTGAAACGTGTATGTACAACTCATGAGCCAAAACTTCATCCCAGCCTGGAGGGTGGAGAAGTACTGCTTGCACTGGCCAGCCATGTGCCAAAGCCTCCTGTTGGACAAGGAGAGACAGCTTCTGGGCGACCTCTAGAAGTCTCTTCTACATAGGTATATACTTCTCTATCTAGATTTATCAATACTTCAGACTTTATCTTTAAATTTCCATATATGACACACGTGCATTTAACTTCTATACTCTCACCTCCTCTCTCTTATTTCTTAAATATAGTTAAAAGCTACTTTTAGTTGAATCCATATAATCTGATTCAGAAAATATAACTCGCTGCAAAGAAAAAGTTATCACAACATTATTATTATTTTCTTTTTTTCTTACTGTGAAAATATTTTATTTAGTCATTTTTATTTACAATTGAAACTCTGGGAATTCAAAATTAACATCCTTGCCCGTGAGCTTCTTATAGACACCAGAAAAAATTTCAACTTTGTGTTCCACATTGTTCTGCTGTGCTTTGTCCAAATGAACCTTTACGAGCAGGCCACCGTCCAGTTTCATGCAGATTCTCTTGCCCACAATTTCACTTGGGAAGACCAAGTCCTCAAGGATTGCGTCGTGCACAGCTGTCAGGGCACGGCTCCTGGGATGCTTTTGCTTATTTTTCATACAGCTTTTTCGAGTTGGCTTAGGCAGAATTCTCCTCTGAGTGATAAAGACAACATGCTTCCCACTGAACTTTTTCTCCAATTCGCTACTAGCTGGACTTGGATTTTCTGGAAAGATTTCAGTTTAGGAACGGGAACAAAGATTATGATAGCTTTCCGACCACTACCAACTTCAGTTTCTTTGGCTGCCGTAATATTCAGCTCCCTGAGCTGAGCCTTGAGGTCTGAGCTCATCTCCAGCTGCAGAAGAGCCTGGGAGATGCTGGGCTTGAGCTCGTCCGGCTTCTCGTCATTGGGCTTCATGATCTTGGCGCTGGAACTGAATATGGCCTTTTCCTTGCTGAGCGCCAGCTTAGGAAGAGGATCGATACATTATTTTTTGTAGAGCTTTTTGTTCACTATTGTGTCACCTTTTTAAAAATTCTTATTTTTTTGCTTGCCTAATTTTCATTTAAATGTTGTTAATACTTTCCTTCATCTCTAAGTTACCACCGACAATTTCATCTATTCCATTGGGTCTACTTTTTTTCTGGATGGAGCTCTGCATCATGGGGGCCTTCATTCTCCTGCTCTGAACAAGGATGGTTGCTCTCTAGGCCCTCTGAATGGTTTTCAGCCAGGCACTTCTTTTGCTACTCTCCTTTGTTAGAGACATGCTTCCCTAGATTCTATGTTTGCCTCTTTCTTTGTCTTTTTTTAAATCTTGGTCACTAGAGACTGTCAAAAATTGCCAATACCGACTATGTTTCAAGTTGTCATGGTGGGATATTGGGAAACGTTATCAATTAGCAATAATTGCACCTGGAATAAACCTCACTGGCTACCATACTCCCACTGTGCAAAGCTTATGCTTTCCTCTTACTTGATTTATTCCCGTATTTTGCTGGAACACACCCTCCATTAATCGCTTAACAAAGGTTCCATGAGGAGGTCTTCATCTGTTCTTTTCATTGTTAAGTATCAAGTTCTCAGTAAGATACATAAAGATAGATAGATGATAGATGATAGACCAATAGACAGACAGACAGACAGACAGAGGGTGGCTGGATGGATAGATGATAGATAGATAGATAGATATACATACATACATACATAGATAATGAAATGGATTGATGGATGGATTAATATAGAGAGAGAGGGATGGATGGAGGAATAGATAGATAGATAGATAGATAGATAGATAGATAGATAGATAGAGTGAGCTTTTCCTTAGAATTTTGAAAACCATCTTCTACTCTGTCATTGTTCCTAGACTTTCTTTGAGATGTCTGGTACTATTCTGATTCCTAGTCCTTTACATGTGTCTTTTTTTTCTAACACTCAGAAGGTATTTATATCTGTGTTCTGAAATTTACTTTATGTCTGTGCTCTGCAGTTTCACTATGAAGTGTCCTCGTGTGGGTCGTTTCCATTCTTGGCACTGGCGACTTGGTAAGGCTTCTACATCTGGATATTAATATACTTCAATTCTAAGATATTTTACTGTATTTCATTTTTATCATTTCCTTTCTTCCATTTTCATTATTTTTTCTTTCTTTTTGGAGCTTAGTCAGATGTGGAACTTCCTATATTTATCTTCTAAGTATCTTCTTTTTTCTAATATTTTCCACCTCTGTTTTATTTATTCATTTTTCCTTTTTTGAGACAGAGTCTCACTCTGTTGCCAGGCTGGCATGCAGTGGCATGATCTCAGTTCACTGCAACCTCTGCCTCCCAGGTTCAAGTGATTCTCCTGCCTCAGCCTCCCAAGTAGCTGGGACTACAGGCACATGCCACCACGCCTGAATAATTTTTTGTATTTTTAGTAGAGTGGGGGTTTCACCATGTTAGCCAGGATGGTCTTGATCTCTTGACCTCATGATCCGCCTGCCTCGGCCTCCCAAAGTGCTGGGATTACAAGTGTGAGCCACAGCGCCCAGCCTTCTACCTCTGTTTTTTGTTTGTTTTTTGTCTTTTAATTGAGACAGAGTCTCGCTCTTTCACCCAGGCTGGAGTGCTGTGGTGTGATCTCGGCTCACTGCAACCTCCACCTCCACCTCCATGATTCTCATGCCTCAGCCTCCCGAGTAGCTGGCACTGCAGGTGTGCACTACCACAACCAACTAATTTTTTTTTTTAAGAAGAAATGGGGTTTCATCATGTTGGCCAGGCTAGTCTCAAACTCCTGACCTCAGGTGATCCGCCCGCCGTAGCCTCCCAAAGTGCTAGGATTACAGGTGTGAGCCACCATGCCTGGCCTCCACCTCTGTTTTTATTGTATTTTGAGAAATTTTCTTGACTTTATGTTCCAAACCTTCTTTTTTATAATTCTAGCCACCTGATTTTTTAATTTACCTGTATGTTAATTTTTAAAGTTGTTTTCTGGGACTTTTTAATAGTTACAGCATGTTCTCACAAACCTTAAAGTTTTAGTTGGAGCTGTGAAATTTTTATTTGGGAGAGGTTAATTCTGATTTATGCATTTTTTTGCTGTGGGCACTTTCTCTGTATGTTTATTTTATTTGTTTGTCTTTAGCTTTACTTTTATGCCAAGAGATCTTTGGTTTGAGTACATACTAAAAATGAAAGCTTAAAAAGCTAACAGGCAGCTTTCTAATATGGATGAAGTATGTCAATTCACATGTTTCACTATGGATTGACCCAGTGGGAACCACATTTTCACTGGCGATTTCTAAACATCAATATGTGAAGAATTTTCCCTGAAGCCATTCTATTTTCCAGAAGAGTTCTCCTGTCTCCTGATTGGAATATGTGCAACAAAGGCCAGATAGGAACAAAGGAATAGAGATCAACCATCCTTGAGTGCAGCTCTTCAATCAATATTACTAAATTTTCCCTTAATTTCAAGTATTCACTATTTAATTCCTATAGAAAAAGAACCTACAATCTTTTGTCTGAAAGCTACAAATCTAGTTATTGGTTCAACTAGTTATTGGATAGAAATAAGAGCTGAGATTCCAGTTCCATATTCAGATGTGTAAGCCATTCCTTTGTTTGTACCATTTTTAGTTCTGGACTTTACTTCCTATATTCTGAAATATATACCATCCTGACCCTTTGTGCATTTGGGGGGACCAAAAAAAAAGCCCTTCTTCTTCTGTATAAGCTTCTACACTGATAAGTACATAGTTTTTATCCTATCCAGAACTGATATCTAACTGACATTCACCAGGTTAGCCATGACAGTTCATGAAACAGAAATACTATTGTCCTTCTTGGTTATTAGCTACCTCTCCAGAATCCCTCACACACACACCCCCCACCACATCCTCTCCCTGGGAAACCCCCTTTTCACATGCACCCACACGACTCTTCACAGGAAGCAGATGGTGCACAGAAAATGGGAGCATTGAAGGATTTAATGAAGAGAGCATTTACAGCAGCATGAAGAGGGTTAAGGGAAACCAACAAACAAGGGATGGGACAAGACACCAGAATCATCAAGATTAGAAAGCTATTACCTCCTCTAAGCCTGAAGAGGCAAGAAAGGAAACTGTTGGTGCAGCTAAGCAAAGCTATAGCTATAGAATGGATTACCCTACAGAAACTGTGGTCCTAGGTAGAGGATAGAAGGCACACAAAACCATGGCTCAGCAGGGAAAGAACCAATAGAATAATGATCCTGATACCCCTGATGCCTCCTTTAGCTGAACCATCAGGTAGTCAAAAAGCAAGGGAGTCCTCTCAGCTCTAAAAGCTTAGTGAAGAGTACATCTAGATAAGCCAAGGGGTGACAGAGACTGTGCAGCACACAACTGGTTCAGCAGAGGGTCTCCAGGAAACTCTTCTGCACGACAACAGGCAGTTCTTTCTGATTGCTTGGGCCCTGCATCGTACTTATTTTTAAATATTTTAAATAACATTTCTGCTTCTATGAACTTCCTAAATTCACAAACTATAACAATCTTTCATCTACTAACATCCCCTCTCTCATTCCCTTTTTCTCTGTGGATTTACACCGACTGTACATGGGAGTCAGAGGAAAGGGGAAATGATTTATTTCATTTTAATGGAGTCTCAGGAGGCAGGAGCAATAATTGCCTGTGAACAACCTGGCATCTTATCCAATCAAAACACTACTGTTTCCCTTGATTCAACTACTTCATCCATTTGTAGATCTTTATAAATGCTATGTCATCTCACACCACCAAGGCATTTTTCATCTAACTAGAATAACCCTCATTTACCTAGATAACTCCAAATCTTTCTATAGGTCAGCTCAAAAATCACCTCCCTTAGGGAGCCCTGCCCGGCCCTTCCCCAATCCATCCTAAGTGCCCTCCTGTGTGCTTTTATAGCACTGTGTGCTTACCGCTATCGCCACACTTTTCCCATTTTGCAGCAATTGTCTATGTCTACTCTTCAATGAACTATTAGCCGAAATAGCATATCTATGTTCAGTGGTTCTCAATCTTATCAGACCAAGCCCTCCTATTTATAAGTATATTTAGTCCTTTTACTCTCCTAAAATGAAATCCATAGTTAATATATCCTACATAAAAACATGCTTCAAATACCAAGAGGCCTGATGGCTTTTGCAGCAAGAGTGTAGCACAGATTCCTGACATTCACCTTCTTGGGCCAGAAGCCAGGGCTGCATCTCTGAGGCCAACTGCAGTACCCAGAGAAGATCAAGCACATTCTGCCCTGGCTTCAGGAGGACTCACTAACACCCTGTGCATGTTCAGCATGCAGTGCCTTGAACAGAAGAGTTTTCTTTGCTGGCAACCAAACATGTATCCTGCAGAGGTGTTTGGAGGAGTTACTGTGGTACTATGTTATATATACGATTTATCCACAGATGCTAAGTAATTGCCTCCAAGGGAGTAAAAATCTGGAATGCCAATGGATCTCAAAATCTTTTTGGGCAGTCTCGGGTTCCCCACCAGGAGATGCATATTTGGAACCAGCTTATGTAAGACATCAGTGGAGACATTGGAGACAGAATGCAGAGAGATTAATCCTGATTATTCAGGTTAAGGAGTAGACCAACTGCCAAAAGTTATTGACACAATGAAAACCAACCACAATGACAAAAGAATCATCAAGTGTGCTTAGAAGTCAAAAAAATCTCCCTTTGATCGTTCTGGTGTCATGTCAGTTGCCAGTTTGATGGTGGGTAGTGAACTTTACCAGGGGTCAGGAAACGTGGGGCCCTGGTGCTTTTTAGCATCACATGATCCCACACATCATAGACCTGAAGCCAAGTGACTCTACATATTTTGGAAGATGCTCATATATACCTAAATCTCATTGAGCCACTGAAAATTAATTAGACATTTCTACAAGTTCAGAACATTAAAAAAGTTAAGATAATTAGTGATGTTAAAGCTGAAGATATTCAGATTAAAGGTCATGGCATTCATCTAACTATTAAAATTAGAAATGTTTGTCTGAAATGCCTTTGCATATTTTCAGGATTTGATCAGTCTTTTGGAGATGGTCTGACTACCCTGGTGAGATTTTTATTTGTGCTTCAAATGAAAAAAGAACTAGGTCAAAACCACATTAGTATCCTATCAGTTACTATGCATCATTAAAAACAGCTTCCACTGGGGATAATTCTTTTAGTAAAAAAGGCTCACCTTTTTAGAAAAACAATACCATTAATGTGATTAAGAATGTATAAAAATTCTAGCAGTATGAAAAAGATAAGAAGATTGAAAGTTTATATACCCTTAAAAAATGCATGCATTTCAAACCTACATCTGTATGAAGAAGGTGAGTGAATTTCAAGTGTTGTATAAACAATATCACTTTAGCAGTATTTAAATACTATCAATCACAATATACAATGTAGCTATAGTCTTTTGAAATATGTTTTATATATTTCTATAAATATTATAAATCAGCATTCTGTTCTCAAATCAACAAAATGCCCTCAGTATAGTATAAGAGCAATAAGAAAATTATGTATAATAAATGAGACTAAATCATTGATGAAGACAAGTCTTAAATTAGTCAGATGTTTGCAACTATATGAAGAATCACGTCGAATATAGTAGCTCCTAATGCAGTTATAGGTATGTGACCTAAAAGACTCAAACCTAAAGAGACTGAACAAAGCAAAGGGTAATCTTATCGCAATTTACGTAGTATATTTGCATTCTTGAAAAAAATCAGCATATTTGAGTTAAATGGAGTTGGACTCTGGACTCAAATAACTACAAAAACAAATCTTTCATCTATTGTCTCTAGACACATTTTAATCTTTTTGAAATTAGAAAATTCATCTTACAGTCAATGGCTTCTTACAGTCTCTTTCAATCAGGTTGCAGCCAAGATGAGGAAACTTGATCAGTTGTTCATATCCTCATCACTTCAATTGGGTTATCTGCTTTGCAGGTATTACATGTGTTGAGTTTAATTGCTATATAAAATGTCATTTAAAGAGATTATATTATGAAGCAGCATCAATACAAATAATTATTCACAAGCGTGGAAGCAGGAAAGTGGACATCATTTTGAAATTACAAAGTATTTGTCATTGGAAGAATAACTATCATTCAATATTTTTTCCCAGAGGAACCTCGAACTGCTAGAGCACATTTTTTTTTTTTTTTTTTTTTTTTTTTTTTTTTTTTTTTTTTTTTTTTTTTTTTTTGAGATGGAGTCTTGCTCTGTCACCGAGGCTGGAGTGCAGTGGCACAATCTCAGCTCACTGCAAGCTCCACCTCCCGGGTTCACGCCATCCTCCTGCTTCAGCCTCCCGAGTAGCTGGGACTATAGGCACCCGCCACCACGACTGGCTAATTTTTTTTTGTATTTTTAGTGGAGACAGGGTTTCACAGTGTTAGCCAGGATGGTCTCGATCTCCTGACCTTGTGATCCACCCAGCTTGGCCTCCCAAAGTGCTGGGATTACAGGCATGAGCCACCACACCTGGCAGAGCACATTTTTTTAATTAAAAAAAGAAGACACCATGAATAAATGTCTTACATTTTCATAATGAAATATATGCAAAGATTAACTATTGTATGCCATTCACTGCAACAGAAGGCAGAAGAATTTGTAGATCCATCTGAGTAACAAAAAGGAGGAGTATTTGTAGGTTGCTCAGAGTAGTTAAAAGAAATTTCAGAAGAGCAAGAGCTGTTGAGACTGATGTGTGTGTTGTGCAGAACTATACTGAAGGAATTGTGTCAGAGTATAATTTGCAGTGTTCCTCCTTCTCAGTTATATATACAATTATAGTACATCTTAAAATCAATGGTATCTTACATTGAGTGAAATATGGCACTTAAATGTCTTGCAAAATATTTCAAAATCCTGTGGAACTTGGAATAGTTCTTCATTGTGAAGGACTATCCTACAAATTGTAAGATATCTAGAATGTTTGGCTCCTGGCCACCAAATATCATGATAGACAGCAAAAAGAAAAATCAAATAAATTGCAAAACACAACTGGGGATGGGAGTGGGAGTTGAGTACTGCTTCTGTTAGAAACTACTATCCTAGAGCTTATCCCAGGAACTAGTACATAATAGGTGTTCAATAAGTGCTTTTTGAAGGATGATTAATTAATTACTAAACTTTAAAATTTCCCAATAGGTTAAATATTGCTTGCTCAGTCATTCACCATTGTTTGAAAGTGGATCATTTGATTATTCATATTATGGGCTTTAGTTCTCTAGTGTAAAATTTTTGCCCTCCATTTAATAGTGCATTGTTTTAGCAACTGAGATCATGGTATGATTCATTTTATTATTCACACACACACACATTCAACAAATACTGATTAATAGTTTACCATGAACCAGACATTGTACTAAATACTGTGAAAACAATGTAAAATAATGTATATATAGACTGTTCCCTTGCTTAGCTTACAATGTCAAAGGCAGGAAATTTATAAAGCAATAACAATAAAATAAGATAAGTACTCTGGAAGAGAGCAGGGGGTAGAAATGGGATTCATTTGAGTTTTAGTCATACTAATTCATTTTGCCAGTGGTAGATACATTCCTATTTGGGTTGCAGATAGCACTGTAACTTCAGTGTCTCTGGAGGCTACTATAAAAATCCCATTTCTGTGAGTCTTTAGCTCAGTAGAGAAAATGATTGGCAGCACGACTGTGGGTATGGCATTTTCACTTTATATTGATAATAATGAAGGATACTTTAAATGACAAATATTGAAATGAGAATGTCTATTCAAGCTTTTAGCTCACATTTATTTTCACAAAAGCTCTACAATTTCAGTCTCAAAATGGGCCCAGTAGAAGTGCTCAGCAGTGTGCTTTGAAGAGCTGTCCAGCAAAATATGTCCTAAACATTCTTCAAATTGAACACAAAGTGACCAACTAGATGCAGTCCCAAAAATGCCACTCCTACTGAGAGAGACCGAATTATCGAGTAAACCACCATAATTTGGGCAGATCTTCAGAGAGAAAATGCTGAGGGTGGATGGAGAAGTGATGCAGGAACCAAGGCAGAAGAGGGATGGAGCTGGGAATCCTGTGTAGGATACCTGAATGCCAGGGCTAGTTCCAGCTCCAATTGCTTCTGAGAAAGGGGTGAGTGAGGGAACTGAGGGACAGCTCAGTTTTGCTGCAGACCTCTGGAATCCTAGCTACAGGGGACTCTGTATCCCCATGGACATGGACTTCTAGTGGGGGATCTCCCTAGAGAGCGTGCAGAGACAGGCCATTGGACGGCATGGAGCCTGGGAGCTTTTGTACACTAGGCTCTCCAGCAGAGAGTGAGGACAGAGGCCCATCCCCCAGGGCTCGCCATTCCCCTCCAGGAGGTGCAGACCGCAGCTGACCTCTAAGCCAGGAGAAGGGGGGCCAGCTTCACCACAGGACTGGGGGCATCTGCTCTGCAAGCTCTTCTGCCCGCTGTTCCCTCATAGGGTCTATGCCTAGCTTCCCTGCAGGAGTGGGTGCACAGTGCAGCCCCTGCAGCCCACACTTAGTGAGTCACTGCACCTGAGTACTTTCCTGAGGACCCTGGAACACACTGGATCCCTCACCACTAACACAACCCAGACCCAAGCCAGCATCCCAGTGCCCCCAGGACTGTAGCGGGCAGCTCAATAGTACAAAGCCAAGATCTGTGGCTGGCACTCAAGTGGAGAAGGAGCCCCCATCCTCAGAACACTGAGAAGGGTGAGATGCATGGGTTCCTGGGGCAGAGAAGGAACAGAGTGTGTTTTCCTCCTCAAGGCCATTTCAGAGACTATGTTCATATCTCCCTACCACAGCCTCTGCCCAAGGAGACCCCACCACATGGAGCACCTAACAAAAAAATGTGGGTACAGCACCAGCCATCAGAGGGGCTCCCCCAAGGCCCAAGAGTGGACTGGTGAGGGGGCTGTCTCTCTCCCCTGCCACCACAGAGCATGCCTGTGATACAAGGTAGTACAAAAGAGTCACATTACTGGGTATTAGCTTAGCTACTGGCCATTATTCTTAAGTGCCATCTACCGGATTCCAGCCCAACCTACAACACCAAAAGTTTATCCCACTAATATATACACCTGTGGAACCAAGGGCAAGAACTGACCCAAATATAAAGTTCCTTTACAGAGCCCTGGCCATCTAGAAGCATCCAGAAATGAAGCCAACTGAATATACTCAACTTAAACCGCAGTTAAAGGAACACCAATTCTCCCAGATAAGAAAGAATCAGCACAAGAAATTTCAGACAATCTAAAAAGCCAGAGTGTCCCCTTACCTCCAAATGAGTCCACTAGCTCCCCAGCAATAGTTCTTAACCATTCTAAAATGGCTAAAATGACAGGCATAAAATTCAAATGCTGGATGGCAAGCAAAGTCATCAAGATTCAGGAGAAAGTTGAAACCAATCAAAAGAATCCACAGAATCCAGTAAGATGATCCAAGAGCTGAAAGACAAAATAGCCATCATTTTTTATTTATTTATTTTTTTTTGAGACAGGGTCTCACTCTGTCACCCAGGCTGGAGTGTGGTCACACAATCAGGGCTCACTGCATCCTCAACCTGCCAGGCTCAGGTACACGTGACCACACCCAGTTGATTTTTTGTATTTTTTTGTAGAGAAAGGGTTTTGCCATATTATTCAGGCTACAAAATAACGATCTTAAGAAAGAACTAAACTGAACTTCTAGAGCTGAAAAACTCACTATAATAATTTCATAATACAGTTGGAAGTATTAACAACAGAATAGACCATGCTAAAGAAAGAATCTAGAACTTGAAGACTGGTTCTTTGAGTCAACTCAGTGAGACAAAAATAATGAGAAAGGAATTAAGAAGAATGAACAAAACCTCTGAGAAATATAAGATTATGTAAGGAGACCAAATCTATGACTCACTAGCATTCCTGAGCAAGAAGGAGAGAGAATAAGCAACTTGGAAAATATACTTGAGCATACAGTTTGTGAAAATTTCCCTCATCTCACTAAGAGATTGACAGGCAAATCCAAGAAATACAGAGAACCCCAGCTAGATATTATACAAGAGGACCAATCCCCAAGGCACATAGTCATCAGATTCACTGAAGTCACCACAGAAGAAAAAATCTTAAAGGCAGCTAGAGAGAAAGGTCAAGCTATGTACAGGTAGCCCCATTAGGCTAGTACAAGACCTCTCGGCAGAAACCTTACAAGCCAAAAGATATTGGGGGCCTATTTTCAGTGTCCTTAGAGAAAAGAAATTCCAACCGAGAATTTCACATCCTGCCAAACTAAGCTTCGTAAGTGAAAGAGAAATGAAATCCTTCCCAAATAAGCAAATGCTGAGGGAATATGTTTCAACAAGACCAGCCTTATAAGAGGTTCTGAAGGGAGTGCTAAACATGAAACCAAAAGAACACCTGCTACCACAAAAATACACTTATGCACATGGCCCACAGGCACTATAAAGCAACTAGACAATCAAGTCTACATAACAGCCAGTTAACAACACGGTGACAGGATCAAAATCACACATATCAATAGTAACTTGAATGTAAATTGGCTAAACATCCCATTTAAAAGACACAGAGTGGCAATCTTGGTAAACAGAAATGACTCAGCCATCTGTTGTTCAAGAGACTCATCTCACATGTAATGACACCCACATGCTCAAAATAAAAGGATAGAAAAAGGTTTACCATGCAAATGGAAAACAAAAGAGAGCAGCAGTCACTATTCTTATATGAGAAAAAAAACAAGCTTTAAACCAATAAAAATTAAGGACAATGAAGGGTATTACATAATTATAAAGGGTACAATCCAACAACAAGCCTTAACTATCCTAAATATATATGCACCTAACAACTGAATACCCAGATTCATAAAACAAGTTCTTCTTGACCTAAAAAAAAGGCCTAGCCAAAAATACAATAATAGTGGGAGACTTCAACACCCCATTGACAGCATCAGACAGATCATCAAGACAGAAAACTAACAAACAAATTCTGGATTTAAAGTCAACATTTGACTAATTGAACCTAATAGACATCTACAGAACACTCCACCCAACAACCATAGAATATACATTCTCATCTGCACACGGAATGTATTCTAAGATCAACCACCTGCTTGATCATAAAGAAAATCTCAGTAAATTAAAAAACTTGAAATCATAGCAAGCATACTTGTGGACCACAGTAAAATAAAAATAGAATTCAATATCAAGATTTCTCAAAACTACACAAATACATAGAAATTAAACAATTCGATTTTAAATAACTTGTGTGTGAGCATTGAAATTAAGTCAGAAATCAAAAAATTCTTTGAAATTAATGATAATTGGAACACAACTTAACAAAATCCCTGGGATGTACCCAAAGCAATGTTAGGAGGAAAATTTATACCCCTGAAGACTTTCAGCAAGAAGTTAGAAAGATCTCAAATTAACAAACTAACTTTGAGCCTAAACAAACTAGAAAAAAAAAAGAGAAAACCAACCCCAAAGCTAGCATAAGAAAATAAGTAACTAAAATTAGAGAAAAACATAATGAAGTTAAGATGGAAAAATCCATACAAAAGATCTATGAGGTCAAGTATGGTGGCTCATGCCTGTAATCCCAGTACTTTGGGTGGCTGAGGTGGGAGGATGGCTTAAAACCAGGAGTTTGAGACCAGCTTGGGCAACATAGCAAGACTCCAACACTATGAAAATAAAAAATAAATTTAAATTAAAAAGATCAATAAAGCCATAAATAGGTTCTTCAGAAATATAAGCAGGACTGATAGACTGCTAGCTGGATTAACAAAGACAAAAAAGAGAGAAGATCCAAATAAGTACAATCAGAAATGACAAAAATGACATTACAATTGACCCCTCAGAAATACAAAAGCTCCTCAGAGAATACTATTCAACTTTTTGCACACAAATTAGAAAACCTAGAGAAAATGGATAAATTCCTGGAAACACACAACCTTGTAAGATTGAATGAGGAAGAGATTGAAACTCTGAATAGACTAGTATCAAGCTCTGAAATTGAATCAGTAATAAAGAACCTACCAACAAAAAAAGCCCTGGACCAGAAGGATTCACAGCCTAATTCTACCAGATTTACAAAGAATAACTGTTATCAATCCTACTCAATCTGTTCCCAAAAAATTGAGGAGGAGAGACTCCTCCCTAACTGAAGACAGCATCAGCTAAATACCAAAATCTGGCAGAGACACAACACAGAAAGAAAACTTCAGGAAAATATCCCTGAGGAACATAGATTAAAAATTACCTCAACGAAACACTAGCAAAGCCAATCCAGCAGCACATCAAAAAGTTAGTTCACCATGATCAAGTAAGCTTTATTCCTGGGATGCAAGGTTGGTTCAATATACACAAATCAATAATTGTGATTCACCACATGAACACAATTAAAAGCAAAAACCATATAATCATCTCGATAGATGCAGAAAAAGCTTTCAGGAAAATCCAGTATCTCTTCATGAAAAAAACTCTCAACAAACGAGGCATCGAAGGAACATACCTCAAAATAATAAGAGCTGTCTATGACAAACTCACAGCCAAAATCATATTGAAAAGGCAAAACCTACAACCATTCCCCTTGTGAACTAGAACAAGGCAAGGACACCCACTTTCACCACTCCTATTCATCACAATACTGGAAGTCCTAGAGAGAACAATTAGACAAGAGAAAGAAATAAAAAGTATCCAAATAGGAAAAGGAGAAGTCAGACTATCTCTCTTTGCTGATGATATTATTCTATACTTAGAAAACCCCAAAGACTCTGCCAAAAGGCTACCAGAACTGATAAACGATTTTAGCAAGGTTTCAGGATACAAACTCAATGTACAAAAATCAGTAGCATTTCTGTAGAATGATAAAATCCAGGCTGAGAGTCAAATCCAGAACATAGTCTCTTTTGTTTTTGAGACGGAGTCTCGCTCTGTCGCCCGGGCTGGAGTGCAGTGACCCGATCTCGGCTCACTGCAAGCTCCACCTCCCAGGTTCACGCCATTCTCCTGCCTCAGCCTCCTGAGTAGCTGGGACTACAGGCACCCGCCACCACGCCTGGCTAATTTTTTTGTATTTTTTAGTGGAGATGGGGTTTCACTGTGTTAGCCAGGATGGTCTCGATCCCCTGACCTTGTGATCCGCCCACCTCGGCCTCCCAAAGTGCTGGGATTACAGGCGTGAGCCACCGCACCCGGCCCAGAACACAGTCTCTTTTACAATAGCCACAAACAAAATGAAATACTTAGGAATACAGCTAGCCAAGGAGGTGAAAGATCCATATAGGGAGAACTACAAAACACTACTGAAAAAAATGACATGTGACACAAATAAATGGGAAAAAATGCAATGCTCATGGATTGGAAGAATAAATATCATTAAAATGGCCATACTGCCCAAAGCATTTCACAGACTCAATGCTCTTCCTATCAAACTACCAATGAAATTCTTCACAGAATTAGAAAAAACTTTTAAAATTCATGTGGAACCAAAAAAGAGCTCAAATAGACAAGGCAATCCTAAGCAAAAAGAGCAAAGCTGGAGGCATCACATTACCCAACTTCAAACTATACTACAAAGCTACAGTAACCAAAAGAGCAAGGTACTATTACAAAAACAGACTAATGAAATAAAATAGAGAGCCCAGAAATAATGTCACACATCTACAACCATCTAATCTTCAACACAGTCAACAAAAGCAATGGGGAAAGGATTCCCTATTAAATAAATGGTGCTGCGATAGCTGCCTAGCCATATGAAGAAGAATGAAACTAGACCCTTACATTTCACCATATACCAAAATTAAAGCAAGATGGATTAAATACTTAAATGTAAGACCTTCAACTATAAAAATCTTAGTTGAAAACATAGGAAATATTGCTCTTGACGTCGGTCTTGGCAAAGGATTTTTGGCTAATTCTCCAAAAGCAATTGCAACAACAACAAAAAAATGCAGTTGACAAATGGTACCTAATTAAACTCAAGAACTGAAATTTGAGAAACTAGTTCATGAGAAACTAACTAATTCATGAGAAATTTCAGTTCTTTAATTTAATTTCATTTGCCAATTTCACTTTTTTTTTTTTTTTTTGGAATTGCTTTTGGGGAATTCGTTCCTCAAATTTCAGTTCTTTAATTAGGTCCCATTTGTCAATTTCATTTTTGTTGCAAAGGACCTATTAAACTAAAGAACTGAAATTTAACATTTATTCTGCATGGCAAAATAAACCATCAACAGAATAAACAGACCACCTACAGAATGGGAGAAAATATTTACAAACTATGCAAAGGTCTAATAATATCCAGAATCTATAAGGAACTTAAACAAATCAACAAGAAAAAAAATCACTAAAAAATGCGCAGAGAACATGAACAGACACTTCTCTGAGAAGACATACAATAGCCAACCAACATATTACAAAACACTCATCATCACTAATCATCAGAGAAATGCAAATCAAAACCACCATGAGATACCATCTCATACCAGTCAAAATAACTATATTAAAAAGTCAAAAAACAACCAATGCTTATACACTGTTGGTAGGAATGTCAATTAGGTCAACTGCTGTGAAAAGAAGTTTGGAAGTTTCTCAAAAAACTTAAAACACAGGCAGTAATCCCATTACTGGACATGTACCTAAAGGAAAATAGATGATTATACCAAAAAGAACCACGCACTCATATGTTCATCATCACACTATTCACACTGGAAAGACATGGAATCAACCCAGGTGTCCATCATGGTGGATTGAATAAAGAAAATGTGCATATATACTATAAAACACTATGCAACCATAGAAATAATGAAATCATGTCCTTTGCAGCAATATGGATGGAGCTGGAGGCCATAATCTTAAGTGAATTAACTCAAGAACAGAAAACCAAATATCACATGTTCTCTCTTATAAGTGGGAGCTAAACATTGAGCACATATGGTCATAAACATGGGAATAATAAACACCATGGAATACTAGAGAAGAGAGGGAGGGTGGGGGGCATGGGTTGAAAAACTACCTATTGGGTACTACACTTATGACCTATCTAACAATCCTGCATGTGTATCCCCTGTATCAAAAATAAAAGCTGAAATTTAAAACTATATATAAATTTACCATTTTAACCATTTTTTAAGTGTACAGTTCAGCGGCATTAATCACATTCACATTGTTGTGCCCATCACCACCATTCATCTTGAGAACTTTCTCATCTTCCCAAAGAGAAAACCACATTAACCAATAACTCCCTATTCCTCCTTCCCCCAGCCCCTGAGAACCACTATTCTACTTTCTGTTTCCATGAATTTGACTACTTTAGGTACCTCATACAAGTGGAACCATACAGTATTTGTCGTTTTTTGGCTGGCTTATTTCAGTTAGCATGTTTTCAAGGGTCATCCATGGTATACTATGTGTCAGAACTTTATACTTTTTGATGACTGGATATATCATTGTATGTATAAATCACATTTTGTCATTCATTTATCTGTTGATGGTCATTTGGGCTGTCCCACCTTTTGGTTATTGTGAATAATGCTGCTATTGCTGCCGAATGCCAGGTATTTGGCCTAGGTCCTGTTATTTCCTGCACAGAAAGCCAATAACTGAAACAAGGAGTATTGTAAGAGAAGAAAGGCATTATGATGTGTGATGTCAGCCAGAGAGACGGAAGACCAGTCTCTAATCCATCTCTCTCCCCTGACTAAAGTTGGAGCTTTATTAATATATAGCATGGAAGGAAAACAGTAGGGTTAAGGAAAAGGAGTTGGTCAACAGGCATCAGGTAGTCAAATGAGGGGGTCTAGCATCTCTCTGTAATCACATGTGGAAAATGGAAATTAGAGAGAAGTAAGAAAGACAAGCCAATCAACAGGCAGCAGGTATATCTTACTGTCTGGTGTGGTGATCTGGAAAGCCTTAGTTCCCCACTACCACCCAGGAGACCTGGCAGTCAAAGGAACTCAGATAAGACAAATTTAAGTTTCTCAAATTTCAGTTCTATGGAAAAATTGGACCAGTTTCATGATGAACATTGGTGTGATAACTGTTTCTTAATCATTTTAAAAATTCACTTTTCTTCTTAAAAAAATTAAACACAGAAAGAGTTTACACATGTCATCTATTCTGTTAAGTGTAATATAAAATGGAAGAATAATCCAAACTTCTCACTTCCCCAATTTAATGAACAAATTGGTGATATAATTGTTAACTGATATTGTTACTTTTAGACATATTTGAATGTACTTTTTAAAATGTTACTAATGTTATTGATTGCAAAAAGAAACTATTTTACAGATTATGATCAGTTTTAAACATTAGACAAATTCTTTCTTTCTATTCTTTCTTTCACGTACACAAACATCTATCCCAAATGTCAGCATTTTGAAAAGAAAAAGCTGAAAAAATGGTGACATGAGAAATAGAAAATTAAATTAATAAGCGGAGTAGGTTTCCCTATGCCCTCCTGTTGATTGAATTAAGTTGTATCTAAAGAGATTGCCCTAAAAGTCACCAAAATCTAGTTTTCATGTTTAATATTTTTATCATTCTATCATAATGTCTCTCTTTTCACAGAAATGAGAGAAAATACACTAATCGAAACTGAAGTCCTAGGTCAAAAGGCATGATTATTAATCCTTCAGTGATCTTAGACATATCCATTTCTTTAAATAAAGAGGCAAATGCACCCTTTTAAGGTATAATCTTTGATAAGTATATCTCAATTTTTGAGAAACATCTCAAACAATCTTTGAGAACTATATTTCTAATACAGTTGGAAATTTTTTTCTTCTCTGAAATAACTGTGTAATTTAACACAGTGAATTAAATATCTTGTGCCCCAATCACTAGTGTATTTTGTGATTTTTATTTCCCCAAATTTCTGATTCATGTCTGACCACTGAAATCTTTTCCTGTTGATATTTGAACATTAATATCTGACCCTTTCCCTCAGTATCATTTTTTTTCTTGCCTTCTCCCTATCCCCACGCCAAATCTTTTGTTCCACATTACTGAGTTGTAAAGACGACTTTACAAGTTCAGTGCTTGTCAGGGTGTTAGCAAGAGCATCCAAAATAAACCTAGTGGGTAGCATTTACAGATAAACTACATCATCATGAATATGGATGTGAAAATAATTGAGTTTGAAAACTTAGAAATTCACAAGTGCTACAGCTAAATCTTTTAAAAAGATATTTAGTATTTTACTGTTTCTGCCTTTTAATGAGCTAAATACTGTCCAATTCTTCTATGCCTTTTAATGAGCTTAATACTCTCCAAATCTTCTATTGTGACATTTCTCATACATTTAAAAATGACAGTTGAAAAATCTCTACAAATGATAACCTGGCCCATTACTATAAAACCCACAAACACTGGTGCATCTACATATTCTCAGAATTAAAAGTTTGTAATAAGGGTTACTTAAAAGACAATTTTGTTATTCTCTTCTTTACCACTTGACTGATAAAACAAGTAACTGGAAATGTGGTTCTGATTATATTATTCTGACAGATACCTCTTCTATTTCCAGTATAAAGTGGGGACAATCCTATGAGGTACTTTCATAGGTGTGAAGTTATAAAGTTACTAGACCTTAAAACTTTTGTTGATAAGACAACCAAGAGCTCAAGGAGTCAGTACACTTGCCCAATAAAAAAACAGCAATCTTGTGGCTAAATATTTTTTCAAAATTGACTTTACTTAATCAACCTCTCCTTAAGTCCTTATTCTACTCTCATGTAAGCACATAATCCCAAAATAAAGGATTTTGGCTTGAATTCGGTAGACTAATACAAATACTCTGTAATCCAGACATGCCAAAGGTAAGATGGACTAGCAAACAAACAAACAAGAAAATATTTTTCATCTCTGAAATTGCATAAATTGGTGGTGATCTACATTTATCACTATTTTAAGGTTATGATTTCTATACTTAAAAAAATGATTACAAAGCTAAGTATTTAAATCATAAATTTCTTTTCACCCCTTTCTACACAAACGTCAAAGTTCTTATGAATCACAGAGCAATCTATGATATTTTTCCAGTTAAAATTGGATTTACTTCTTTCAATTTCAAACTGGTTATATGTTCCAGCTATAGGGTTGTCTCAAGCCCATATTTTATTGTCTCTCAGAGCCAAACCCACTTGCCTTTTCCTTACTTTGTGGTGCTAGATCTAAATTCTGCAAACTCCTTTATTTCTTTGCCAGCTGATTTGATACTAGGCTCTGCCAATAGAAGGTGTCTGAGGGAAAAGCCTCAATTTGAGGAGAAAGAGATGATTTTTCAGTAGTATCTGCCCTGTAACTTCAAGAAATTAGGAATCTTTTAGGAATGCTGTGGAATTCTCTGTCTCTCAAACTGTGATTTGAGCCAAGCTTATTTTCTTTCTCTAAGTACTCAAGTGCACTCTAATAGAATCTATCACACGCTGCGGTCAATGTTGTTTGTCATCATTGCTACTATAATGTTAATCTCCTAACTGGACTTTTACAAATATTTTATCTTCAAGTCAATGTTTTATCAAACATTTCTGTAGCCTTCAGTCTACATCAAATAAAAATGATATAAAAAGACTGGGCTCAGGCAGTGGTGGATCAATCTCCTTTTACACTGACTTCTTCATTGCCTCCTGTCCTTCAATCTACTCCTATAACCTCATGTGTAGTTTCTTATTACCGGTTGACTGAGGAATAAAAACTCAATCCTGGTTTGAAAATGGGAAAGATAACTACAGAATTGGACCTAATGGGCAGTGGCAAAATAAAAAAAATTATAGAACTTCAATGGGACATTTGATTGTCTACTGAATTGAAAGAAAGCCAAAAGTAAAGATCTACACTGGTGCGTACGTTGTTGCTAATTGTTTAAATGGATGAATCAGAGACTTTGAAAGAACAGGGTTGGAATATCAGTAACAAAAAGTCTGGGAAAATGTTATGTGAATAGACCACTCAGAATGGCCTCAAAGAGAAAAAATGGCTGTGTCCCATTTAAAAAAATATTCACCAAAGGACATCCACTGCAAAAGAAGCAATCACTAATTAAGTGAACAAAATAACACATTCTGTGACTGTCAGTCACTCCTTTCCCCAGATACCCCAGAGCATGCTTAATAGGCCTAAGAAAAAAGTAGCCACGCTGCAAGAAATAGACAGTATATGTGGTTTTAACAACATGGACTTATTTTTGCCAAAGGTGACCTGGCTACAATTGCTGTTGAATGTTGAATCCAACAACAGAGATCAATACTGAGCCCTCAATATATCATCTTTCCTTGGGAGGAACAGCCAGCCATTTGATTGCATGTTGATTACATTAGGCCCCTTTAATTTTGAAGAGGTAGAGATTCATCCTCACTGGAATAGACAAATATTTTGGAGATGGATTTTCTTTCCCTGTCCACAATGTTTCTGCCAATATCACCACCTATGAATTCACAGAATGCCTTATTCTCCATCATGGTATTCTGCAAAGCATTGCTTCAAATTATTCTACAGTAAAGAACTGCAGCAATGGGTTTATGAACAAAGAATTAACTGGTCATACAACATACTTCATCTTCCAGAAGTGGTTGGACTCAGAGAAAGATGAATTGGCTTATTAAAAATAGCTTCATGTGGAAGACCACACCCTCTTTGTCTTACAGGAGACAAATACATGGTGTTTTCTACCCTATATTCAAAATATATGGTCCAAGAATCAACGAGTGAAAGTAGAGTAAACCTTCTCACTAATATGCCACAGAACATCAGAACTGCAGGTCTGAGGGGAATGGTTCCACTGGGAACACAAAAATGAATCCACTGATGTCAAAGCTGAGACTTTTACCTGGCCATTTGGCATGTCTTATGCCACTGAAGCAATAAACAAAAAGGGGAATTACCCTAATGGCTGAAATGATTGAACTGAACTACCAGGGAGAAATTGAGTTTCTCGTGGACTTCACCCCTTCTACTTTTTCCCTTTGCTAATTTTAACCTGTATCCTTTGTCTGTAGTACAATGTGGCTGTAAACACCACAGTTTTTTTGAGTTCTGTGATTCTTTCTAGTGAATCATCAAGCCTGAGAGTGGTCTTGGGGTCTTTTGACTCAGTCCTGTAGTTCAATGTAGATTAGATGTGGTGTAGTGAGCGTCTGTCCCTGTGCTATCTATTACCATACAAAAGATTCTTACAACTTTTCTCCCTTAAGTATCTTATGTGCTATAGTCTTATTTTTTATTATTTTGTAGATACTCTTTGTACCCCTTGTAGAACTATAGAAAGTTCCCTTCTATTCCTAGTTTGCTAAGAATTACATCATAATTGTTAAATTTTAGAAATTTTTTTCTCCATCTGCCAAAAGGAACATGCTTTCTTTTGCCTTAATCTGAGAGTCTAGCCCTTTGGTTTCAGTTAGCTGTTGTAGTAATAATGCTTCAAAAAGATCCTAACTCAATGTCTTCAAACAACAATATTTTATATGGTTCACCCATTTGTAGGGCTGCTTGAATGGCTCTTCCAAGCTCATCTATACTTGGCTGCCGACTGTGGAATTGATTTAAGTGTGTTCCACGTTGTTCTCATTTTTCTGGGACCAACAGACTACACAGAGCATAATCTTCTCCTGGCAATGATAGAAGCACAAAAAGGTAAGTGGAAATACACAGTGCCTCTTAAGATTTGGCATCTGAACTGGGCATATTTTATTCTTGTCCATATTCTATTGGCCAAAGTCACACATCCAATGGGCCATGGAAATATATTCCACTTCTATTTTGAGAAACCACAAAATCCCATATCAAAAGATATGGATACAGGGAAGGATGAGAAGTCTGGAACAATAATTCCATGAACCAAAAGATTCTTAGCTGTATGTAACAGTTAACATTTTCAACTCACTCCTATTCCTTGCATCTTATTCCAGTAATCCATTAAGCCCAAGCTCATTAATAAACACATTGTATTCAAGTACCTATTTCATATAAGAAATGTTGCTCTGTAGTTGTCACTATTTGTATATAAGCTATCTTTTCTCTTTTGTTGATTTTAAGATATTTTTCTGTCATTGATATTCTCCCGTTTAAAAATGGCTAATAATTTTCTGAAATTTGCGGCAAGCAAAAAACTAAAGATCCAGAAAGCTCGGAGAACACTAAGCAGGATAAATACAAAAATATCTACACCTCAGCATATTACATTCACATTCAACAACCAAAGATCAAGAAACATGTTAGAAAAGAACCCAAAGAAGAAAATTACCTAATCTGTAAAGGAATAAACATAAGAATGACATTCAGATTAATCTTCAGAAATCATGCAAGCAAGAAAAGAGTGAAATGAAATATTTGATGTGTTGAAAGAAAAAAAATCATTAACCTAGATTATTTAATCTCTAAAATTACCCTTCAAAAGTAAAGAAAAAATAACTTTCTCAGAGAAGCAAAAATTGAGAAAATTTGTCAACAGTATACCTGCCTTGCAAGAAATCTTAAAAGTTCTTCAGAGAGAAGAAAAATTATGTAGGTCAAATCTGTATCTACATAAAGAAAGGAAGAGTATCAGATAAAAATAAATGAAAATAAAATATTTTTATTCTTAATTGATCTAACAGATACAAATTTTCTCAAAATAACAATAGCAACAATATATTCCATGATTATAGCTTAAAGATAAATGAAATTAATGACAACTATATTATAAGGGATGGAGGGAAGTACATGCATTACTCATAAACTGTTATAGTTTTATTTCAAAGTGGACTTAGATTTGTTGTAAATTTAGAACTTATATGCTAAGACAGGAGAAAAAATAGAATCATAAAATGCTAAATTAAAACTGGAGATTAAAGGAAAAGACTGGAAGATGAAAAAACAAAGAGTAGATCACCTAATAGAAAACAGTTACAAATATGATATATACTAAACCAACTATATAAATACGTACTTTAAATGTGAATGATGTAAATATACCAATTAAAAGGCAAAGGCTATGTAAGAGTAGATTTTAAAAGAACAAGATCCAACTATATCTTGTCTATAAGAAAACTACTTTAAATGCAAAGACATGGATTAAAAAGTAAGGGATGGAGAAAGAGATACCTTACTACACACTTATCAAGAGAAAGCTGGAATAGTTACATCAATTTCAGACAAAGTAAACTTCCAGAGTGAAGAAAATTATGAGGGATAAGAAGGGAGATTGCATAATGATAAAATATCAATTATTTCAGAACACACAACTATCCTTAAGGTGTAGCATCTAACAACACTGCATCAAAATACATAAGGCAAAAAGTAACAGAACTTGAAGGAGAAATAGATGAATCACTATTATAATTGGATTTCCACATCTGTCTAATCAATAATTGACAAATACAGTAGGCAAAAAATCAGTGAGGATGTAGTTGAACTAAATCAATCAACTGGATATAATTAACATTTATAGAATGCTTCATCAAACAGCGAAACACACATTCTTCTCAAAGTCACATAGAATAGTCATCAAGATAGACCACATGTTGGGCTAACATAACTTAACAAACTTTAAAGAATAAAAGTAAATTTAACATGGTTTTTGTAGGATGTATGCATCTTTTGACATACACAAATTAGCATTAAGCATCCACAAACTAGGGAAAAAGGAGTTTTAAATTAATGAGTTGCACTGAATTTAAAGATGAAAGAAAACCAATTATATATTTACCTCTTGGAGAGTACAGTTGTAATCTTTCAGAAAATAAAGTTGTTTACAAATGGAATAGACAATTTGATTTGATAAGAAATGTTATACTTGAGAATGGAGAAAATCTTTTATTTGCATGTGATAACCAGTAACCGCCATTTATCAAACGAAAAATATGGAAAGGAGCACAAAAAAACTAGTATACATCACAGTTTTTAAAATGAAAGTTAGACATTTTGTATTGAAAGTCCCAACTAAGCAGTGTTAAATTGACATTTTTGTTTATCACTTGGTGTTTGATTATACCATTTGGTGGTATTATGAAACTATTGAAATTTGGCTTTATTTTTCCTGAAACTTTAAAAATACAGAAAGAATAGAAACAAGCATTTCTTTCACATTTATCATGGCACCTGAATTATCAAATTCTCCACAATAGTTTGGTGAAATTCATAACCATCTTTAATCAACTGAAAAGCTTTCTGTGTAAGTTCAAATCTTTTGTATGGAAATGTTTTGCAGCTACTTCTGATCTAAATAGAAAAGATATTCCTCATCATTTTCACCCCAGACTGAGACATCTTTCTAGGAACAGTTCACAAAATATCACAAAAAAGAGTTTGCTCTGGTATATAAGTTGGTCTTACAATTTGTTGAAGTTGCTCCATCGATTTGTAAAGATTTTGGGATTAAAGATTTCATGATATTGGAATGTCTCATCTATGATACCTACACTTGTAAAAAGTTACTCTGGAAATTTTTCATAATTGAATAGTGTGTCTTCTTTTATATTCGTTATAAAATCCATTAGTTCTACTGATATTCATAATTTCCTTTCTGAAGAAAAAACTATCTGAATAGTTGGTTTTTTTAGGCCAACAGTACACTGATAGTCTCTAGTAAATGAACCATGTATTTCTCCATCTTCTATTCTCCAAGAAACAGTAGCTGTTTTTCAAGGCAAACGATCATACTCAAAAAAGGCCAAAAATTAAAAATAAAATAAAATTTTAAGATATATAATAGATAGACCACAAATATCACCACATATTTTGAACAGCATTCAAGCCCTAGTGAAATATTTTGACTGACAGATTTCTTCAGACTTCAAGCATAGGCCTCTGATTTTTGTGTTAATTCTTACCGGGCTTTGGCCCCTTCACTTCCAGCAGCCAAGGGATGCTGCTGCTGACATTGCTGAGTTTATCCTGATCTTCCATCACCCAACTGCCACTTATCTCCAAGGTTCTGCCACTCATCTCCAAGGTTCTGCCACTCATCTCCAAGACTCACTCCTCTGTGTCTCCCCATTCCAGCTCAGAGAATCGGCAAAGCAGCAGTGACACAGCATGGTAGGGGCCCCAACCCCTGATTTCTCCTTAGCTCCCTCTTCCTTGCTGAAGTCACAGGAAGCCCTTTATTTCTATAATCTGCTTAAATATACTGATATAGTTTGGCTGTGTCTCCACCAACATCTCATCTTGAATTGTAGCTCCCATAATTCACACATATTGTGGGAGGGACAAGGTGGGAGGCAACTGAATCACAGGGATGGGTCTTTCCCATGCTATTCTCATGATAGTGAATAAGTCTCCTGAGATCTGATGATTTTATAAATGGCAGTTCCCCTGCACACGCTCTCTTGCCTGACACCATGTAAGATGTGTCTTGCTTCCCCTTCACCCTCTGCCATGATTGTGACACCTCCCCAGCCATGTGGAACTGTGAGTCCATTAAACCTCTTTTCTTTATAAATTACCCAGTCTCAGGCATGTCTTTTTAGCAGCATCAGAACAGACTAACACATGTAGTTATTTTATAGTTTCATTCATATTATTCAATAATTTCAAAACTCTCTGTTTCTTTCTTTGGTTTATTTTCTCCTGCAATTTGCTGTTTCATATTGAGAGTTCATCTTTCATGGAGCTAAAACATTCCTGGGTCATTTTCACTCATGTAAGCACATGATATGTGCAATATAAACATGGTTCTGCAGACCTGAAACTTCATGACTGAGGGAAAGACAAGAGAAGCTGGGGACAGCTAGACAGAAGTATAGATAAATTCAAAGACAAAGTAGAGTGGCTGTCTGAGTCCATTTTGGCTACTATGACAAAATACTAGACTAGTTAATTTATAAACAACACAAATATTGCTCACAATTCTGGAGGCTAGAAAGTTTATGATCAAGGTGCCAGGAGATGCAGCATCTGGTGAGGGTCCATTCCTCACAGATGGCACCTTCTATTGTGCTCACTTGGTGAAAAGGGCAGTCTCCCTCAAGCCTATTTTGTGAGGGCACTAATCCTAACATTCATGAG
The DNA here is from genome assembly GCF_000001405.40 of Homo sapiens. Classification (NCBI taxonomy): domain Eukaryota; kingdom Metazoa; phylum Chordata; class Mammalia; order Primates; family Hominidae; genus Homo; species Homo sapiens. Next base: position 96,674,132 of record NC_000006.12, read on the forward strand.
GGCTCTGTCCTCAAAGCCTAATCACTTCAAATTCTGTCACATTGGGAATTAAGTTCCAACATACAAATTTTAGAGGATCACATACATTCAGACCATGGCTATAGTACAAAAAACTTTTATAGAAGAATGAGATTTCAAAAGAAAATGGGGAGTACAAGTTCTTGTTTATACCTTAATAAATAAATCACTGTAATTTAAAAGCAATTTGGGAACAGAAAGTATTAGCCTGAGCACAGTTTGGTGAAAATTATTTTGGCAGCTGTGTCCAATACCAGTTATAGCAGGGAGAAGGTGACTGTAGAAAGTCCAACAAGAAGATAATGGACATGCTCTAAATGAAATATGACGAATGCAAGACAATTTGATAGTATGGGTAGAAAAGAGGAGAAATCAGAGCACGGAGTATTATTTCACAAATATTTTTTGTGTGTCTAAAACATGCCAGATTCTCTACTGAGTGCTGAGAATACTATGTTAAACAAAATCATCATGGTCTTTGTACTCATAATGCTTACCAGCAAGATGAAGAACATGAAAGAAGGCTTCCCTGAGAAACTCATTTATCTAAAGGATAAATTGGAGTTAGCCAAGAACAGGTTGGAGGTGGGTGGAACATGTGAAAAATACTAATTTTAATCAGGTTAACTCTGTAAAGTCTTGGCTACGTTACTATCATTCATGTTCCAGTACCTCATCATTCACTCATGCAACAAATATTTATTGAACAGTTTACTCTGTACCAGTCATAATTCCAAGTGCTGGGGATACAATGAAAAAAAAAATCTTAAAGTATGGTGGAGGAGAGAGAAAAGTAAATTTACCATTTAAACATATTATGATAAGTGCTGTAGTTCCAGGAAAGAAATAGCATTAACAGTAGTAACAGTATCTCTAATTACAAAATTAATACTATTATTACCAAGTTCCTGAGAATCATCTTCACAGTAGATTTTTACATTACATTAAACATCATATACAAGAAAATACAGTTATAGGGATGTAAAAGATGATTAGAGCAGTTTGCGCTAATTCCTGGTGGGAGTCCATAGGCACAGTGATTACATGGGCACTATCATCTCAGCACAAAGAGGCCCAGGTAGGGTGAGAAGTGTCAATTCTTGTTTCAGCTTTGAGACTAACTCCTGCTGCCTTCATTTCAAACAGAGAATAAAAATCACATAAGAAGCCCTTTCATAAACAGCAGGAGAAAAAGTAAGGGGGGACTAAAAACTAAATGTAAATCTGATGCTACCCAAGGCACTAAATTTAAGCTGCTTATCCTCTGAGAGAAGCGGTTGTTTTGCCAGCAATATTCCTTGTCGTGGTGAGTGGCCATGCTGAATAACCACAGGCTTTGGGAATAATTGATGGCAGGAGGCTGGAGACTACTATAAATCCATCCTCCTGGTCATCACCAGAGCTCAGCAGATAATTTTTGCATCTTTATAACACTTATTTGGCTATCTCCTACCACCAAAATTGGATAGATAATGTCTCACCTTCTATTTATTTAGCACTAACACATTTAGGGTGCCAACTGCAGAATTCTCAGGAAACTGTAGTGCTCATGGAATTCTGCCAACAGTCTAAGAAGGTTCTAAAGGGCTTGGCTGAGAAAAAGAATCATTTGAGTGTAATTCCATCCAGCATGAAAGGTCACACAAGTCAAGATCCGCTGCCAAAATGCTGCTACTGAGGATTAATTAATATCAATTGAGCATCCAAGAGTGTCTGGCATTTTACCAAGGCTGCCTTTCTCACTCCTCCCCTGCTAAAACAGTTGTGGAGATTAAAGCTAGCAGGGCCAATGGATGCTCACCTCTCTGGCCATAATAGAATGGAAAAGAGCTGATGTGTACAGTGGTAAGCCCTTCTCTACTTTTAGGCTGACAAAATCAGTTTTACAGCCTTTTATTTAGGACAAGTTTCACTTTTCCACTCAAAGATAAATAAACAAAATAACTAAAATTTATTGAGTTCTAACTGTGTGCCAGACCCTGGGTTGGGTACATTTTATATGTTTAATCATAGAGCCTTCACAATAGGCCCACAAAGTAATGTCATCTTCATTTTACACATAAGGGAACTGATACTTTAAGTGTTGGCCTAAGTCACAAATCATGAATTGTCTACCTCCACTGCCAATTCTATGCTCCTTCCCCATGCCTCACATGTCTTACTGAATCTAAGTAATGCATTTTTTACTGTGGAAAACTTTGCATTATACATAAAATATTGCCTAGCACTGGAGGCCACTCTGATCCTGTTGACTAACTTTGGCTGGGCCACATCTCTTCCACATATAAAACCTTAAGGGTCATTAGTATGTACTGAGAATTGGTTTAACCCTAATCAATTTCTCTAGAATCAGCTGAATTCCTACCAGTAGAGTGAAACTTAAAGCATAAAATGGAGCATAAGTTCCACAGCTTCATATCATACTGTGTTTTACTGGAAACAGACAAATGCAGAATTTAGTTTTTGATGGACAATGAAGCAATTTTAAGTACCTCTCTTTTTCTGCATCTCTCTTCCTCTAAGTTTGGTTTGTTTAATGTGACATCCTGTAGAACATGAAGGATTTTCCTTTTTTTTTTTCCATTTCTTCAAAGACACGATTTCAAAGCCCAAAGTTATGATTACACAGATACTTTGGAGGGCATAATTCGTAGTCTGCGAGTTGCACTAGATTCCTTGCATACATATTTTTCAAAATGTAAAAATATTATAACATTTTTTGAAGAAGCATGAAATATTCAAATAGAAAAGATAGTGATTACAATGATATAACAACTCTGCCATAATACTAATTAATGTCAGATCCTGACTTGTGGTTAGTTATGACTGTCAACCTAACCCAGGGACTATGTTTTATCTTGTTGTCATTTAAACTTTTTTTTCTTTTTTTCCAGCACACAGACCAATGCTTTGGGTTGTAAAGAGATTGGGCATTCAATGAAACAAATGTACTGAGCTCCTACTTTTACCCTTTTAATTTTGCAACCAACCCCTGGTGATTTCATATCTTGCCTATTAAAACTAACTGTTTTCTGGGCTTTCTTAGTTACTGGATATAACTATAGAAAGTCAGCTTATACTTTTCTCCAGGATTTAAGTTTCCTTCATTATTCCAACAAACAAACCAAAGGACTCCCAAATCTAACCATGTTCCCAAGAGTGTAAAGATAGCACTGGCATTGACCCAGTATGCAGATGCAAAATACTATGGCTACTTTATAAATATTACATTGGACCTGGTCATGGCTCTGTGAACTAGGTCATTAGTTCACCTCACTTACAGAGTAGACGTTGATTAAGGGCACTTATCAGAAAGTTATGGCTGCACAGGGACTCTAAGAGGATGAAAGCCTGACTGATGGAAGAGGAAACCTAGGAAAGATACTGACCCCTGGAAAACAGCTCACCTTTCAGATGGCATGGACATGGCTGTACCTCCAGGTGTACACAGGCTCATGGTCATAGGCACCCCCAATTATGTGTGTAAACCATCTCTAGTCAATGGAACATTCAAATGCCTATTCTATAATATGCACTGTGTTGAGCACATTGTGCATATTATGTACTTTAATTTATATAGAACTGTTGTGGGTTTTCTAGCTAAGGAAGAATGGGCTTAAGTAGGAGACACAAATTTCCCCAGTTTACATGGCTTGAGAATTAAGACTCAACCCCTGATTTGTTCAGATTCAAGGCTCAAGTTCTTGCCATGATCTGTTTATGGCACCTAGTGTTTACCTGGAGAAATTCTACTGATCCTTCCACATGGCCTCTGTATTAGTCCATTCTCACACTGCTATAAAGAACTGCTTGAGAATGGGTAAATTATAAAGGAAAGAGGTTTGATTCACAGTTCTGCAGGGCTGGGGAGGCCTCAGGACTCTGCAGGGCTGGGGAGGCCTCAGGAAACTTACAATCACGGACGTTTGTGAAAGGGGAAGCAAACACGTCTTTCTTCACATGGTGGCAGAAAGGAGAAGGATGAGAGCTGGATCTCATCATCAGCTCTCGTGAGAACTTATTCACTATCATGAGAATAGCATGGCAAAAACTACCCCCATGATTCAGTCACCTCCCACTGAGTCCTTCCCATCACATGTGGGCATTATGGGAACTACAATTCAAGATGAGATTTGGGTGGGGACACAGCCAAACCATATCAGCCTCTTATTTTTCAAGTTTAGTCCATGTATGCTTGATCAAGTGTTTTATTTATTTTTATTTATTTTCTATTGTTAAACAATACAATTCACTTTCATTTAATTCTCCCAACAATATATGATGATATATAGGATACTATTATCCCCATTTTTACAGGTGAGGAAACTGAGGCATACAAAAGTTAGATGAATGGTCTAAACCACATACATGGCTAGTAAATAGGGCCAGAGAATGGTGTTGGCTGATATTTGCACCTGGGAAATCTAGTTCTGGAGCCTGTGTTCTTCACCACTGTGCTCCCCTGACTCCCCTGCTCTATAGGTAAGGACACTGCAGCTCACAGAGGTGAGGTGGTCTGCTCAAGGCCACATGGACAAGGTGGCAGAATCAGGCCTGGAAGCTGGATCTTTACACTCTGAGCCATTATATTCCATTGTCTCTCTTCATCTGCCTCGCATGTCTTCTTTAGATTTCCTAATTCTGTTAGTGACTTCATTGTGCTCTTAGCTACTCTGGCTGAAACCCCTGTCATTTTTTTCCTACTTTCTTTATCCAACCAATTGCCCAGTCCTATTTTGATTTAATTTTACCACATCTCTCTCATCTAGTCCTACCTATTCTTTCTTTACTGCTGCTGCCCCATATCTCTCACCTTTTTTTTTTTTTTTTTTTTTTTTTTTGGAGACAGCATCTCACTCTGTTGCCCAGGCTGGAATACAGTGGTGCAATCTCAGTTCACTCCAACCTCTGCCTCCTCGGTTCAAGTGATTATCATGCCTCAGCCACCTGAGTAGCTGGGACTACAGGTGTGTACAACAACACCCGTATAATTTTGGTATTTTTAGTAGAGACAGTGTTTCAGCCATATTGGCCAAGCTGGTCTTGAACTCCTGGCCTCAAGTGATTTGCCTGCCTCAGCCTCCCAAAGTGCTGGGTCAGCTGATATTTAAGAATGGCCCCCGGATGGGCAGTTTGGAAACCTTGAATGAATAAGGTGACACTGTCAGTGAGGAGCCTGAATAAAGGGTAATTCCAGAGGGCCAGATGAGATTTGGGGGAAAACAGCTGATGACATCAATGTCTTCAAAATTTTTATTTTTGCTGGTCACATTCCAACCAGGGAATAATCTCCAGTTTTTACCTGAATGATATAAGCCTCCCTAACAGCATTATAATAAACAAGAGGAGAAGGAAAGCTGAACATCTCAGATTCAGAGTAAATTTTCACTTAATGGCCCAATTTCAACCAGTAATCTTGCCATCAAATCTGCCTGCCACTCCCCATCCCAAAGACCCTCTGTTTTACCATTCTCAGAGAATAAATCTCTGTTATTTTGCATGGTTAAGAGAGGGGGATGCAATAAAGGAAAGAATAGAGGGGACCATCTTCTTTCTAAACAAACTTTCAATTAATTCTTCTGTTTATAGCCCCAAATTCACCCATGTTCTTGGTGCCAAGAATTCTGCCATATAACTCGAATTATTTTTCACTCTTCATTCATCCCAGATTGTTAATTTTTTGTTTATCCACCTACTTTGACAGCTTCCAAATCTTTATTATCAGTTTCTTTCCACTTCCCTTGTCCTTGTTGGTTCATATTTTTAAAAAATTTTTGATGCAACAAAATTTAATTTTTGCCACCAAAGAAACCAAAAAGTGGGGGAAGGGGGACTATTTCCTCTAAAAATTATAGTCTGCAGTCTATGTTGAAAAACTGAAGACTTGTGTAAATCCTCGGAATAAACTATGATTGGTTCATACTTTAAACATGGCTCGGGGAAATTTGTGAATACTTGGTCATCTTTCTGAAGTACCCCTTTACTGTCATTGTAGTGTGCTTTGAGGAGGGGACAGAGGTTCTATTCATGGGTTCAACTTGCATATTTTACAAGATACTGGCCTTCATTTATTTCTGCCTAGTGAATTACAATAGTCTCCTAACTCCCTGATCATGTCAATCCTCTGCTCAGAAGCAATCAGCCTTTCTGTGGAATAAAGCTATCCTTTTCCACTACCTAGAGCAGTTACTCTCAACCTATTTGCTGTCCTCGTCATATTCACGATCCCCTCTCAGTACAATGAGTCATTTGCCTACAACTTAAGGGATGTGATACTCACATATGGCCCTACTCTAACATTTCAACTTATTATGTATGATTCCCTGTACCCTGTGCTTTAGCCAAAATTGACTATCTTTTGTTTCCTTAATCTGCCATGTGTTTCCTTCTCTGTGTCTTTGCATATGCCTTTTCTGACAAGTGGAATGTCCACTTCTAGCATGCAAATTTTACTGAACCTCCAAAGCCCAGGTCAACTATACCTCCTCAATGAAGCATCATCTCGCCTCCAGCACCATAATGTTTTGTATTTCACATATGGTGCTTTGCACATCTCATTTGATTTGTTACTGAAGATATTGCTTGTGTTATCATTTCTTTCCTGTACTGTGTTACTGGCTCCTTGAGAGCAAGAATTATGTCTTATTGTTACATATTAGCCAATCCAATAAACACATGGATTAATTTAATTGAATTAAACCTATTCGAATCATTATAAACAAGGGTATATAATTTCTAAAACCTTAAAATGTTTTTCCTAGTTCTTATATTTTAATAATTTATTTGCAAAAACAACAAGATTTGAAACAAATAAAGAAATAAAACCCCACTCACTTCTTCATCTCTGCCAGTTTAATTGATTCACAGCAATTGTGTAATTCTAAGCATGGTCGAAATTTTGTTCCAAACTGTATATCTATGTGGAAAAGATTCATTATCCAGAAGTGCAATTTCTCCCATAAAATATATTGATCAAAATTTCTGTGTGGCTTACTCTTGAGAATTTTTACATGATTCACTAAAGCAATTTCCTCAGATCAGAGAACAGTGCTGGCTTGAGGGGTTTATGGGTACTGTTACAGTAACTTCAGAAAAATGACCAAGTATTCACAAATTTCCCTGAACCATGTTGAAAAGCTACTTCATCATTTAAAATATTGTGTGCCAGCAGGAGGAAAGGGCAGTAGGTAGTCTCACATGCTGCGGTAGAAATATCTACAGTGTTGTCAAAAGAAATCCAGTTAATTTTGACTTAACTCCCCCTCAGTTCTTACTTTCAGGACTATATTTTAATAACTTATTTCTGATTACCACTAGTCAGTCCATATTATTCTATTTAACATAAATGGCTCCTATTTGTTAAGCATTTATTTTGTGCTAAACACTTTATATACATTTTCTTACTGAATAGTTACAAAATCCCTTTGAGTGTTATTCTTCCCATTTTTACAGATATGAACTGAGGCTTAACAGGCAGCTAATTAAATCGTCTAGGTTCTTTGAGCATCATTTTTAGATGCTAGTTATCAATTTGTCTATATAACTTTACTAAAAAGTTTTTCTACTTTGACCTTTATTCAAGAATCAGTGGAAAAAGAATTTTTGAATGAAGGATTTGTTTGTTACCTGGGGTAAACAGTTAAAAGGAAAAATTACCTATGTAGATAGTCTCTGAAGTGTATATTCTTTCCAAGTACTTGTGTATTTGGTTCCATTTGTCATCATTTGTCATCTGTGTGCACCCAAAAGTGATGAAAACTGGGTTCTTCAGGGTTATCTGTCTTCTTTCCTTACACTTACTGACAAAGGCCAGTGTCTCAAGCCATCTGTACAACCGGCAGAATAGCCCTATAATTCACATAAGTTTTGATCAGCTCATCACAGTCTGTCTAAGCTCTCTGCTTTCTACAAGATGCATTTTAAGAGTATATGTTGCAATGGGAATCATTTTTTTTTCCTTAAGACTAAAGCTTAAGGGGCCCAAACTTGATTTTTTATTGATTATGCATACAGCACTGCTTTGTGGTTTTAAAAGCTATCTTGTTTCATGTTAACCACAATCATTTGTTTACAAAGTTTTAGTCCCTTTCTTTATACCACACCATCTATTCAGCAACATATGTGGAGGTTATCTCCATGATTGACCACTCAACATGAAATAAATGACAAACATAACAAACAGCATGCATTCACTCACAAATTATTTATTGAACACCTAATGTTCACATAGGATAAGTACTAAACTTATAAGTAATGCATATGTGAATAAAATGAATATTAATGTACTATATGTGTGCAGATAATCTTGATATTCCCTAGCATATATACAACACATACAATCAATAACCTCTACTCTAACTTTCACCTGAAACAAATATAATTCTTCTATAAACAACAAATAAATCATCCTTGGCAATTTTGTCAGGCACCAGTGTTTGAGACCATTTTCTCTCTCAGATTGCCTCGTAATGAATTCTTTCTCCATCAAAGTTGCCCTTAAAGGTGTGTTCAAAGATGTGTGAAGGCATAAGAACATGCAGAGGTTGCTGGTAGGGAAGGAACAAGAAAGTTTGATGAAATAGGACAAAATTCAAGATTCCTTCATGATATCTTCATGTGACGCTTAATTTTGTGTTTTAACTTGAAAGGTGTTTTAGATGAGTTTAACATTTAAGTCAGTGGACTTTGAGTAAAGCAGATTGTCCTCCATGATGTGGATGGGCCTTATCCAATCATTTGAAGGCCTGAGGATATCATGAAAAAGGGACTTTGAATTTTCTTCTATTTCATCCAACTTTCTTGCTCCTTCCCTAAAATTGCCCCCAAACATTTCTCCACTCTCACATACACTTTAAGGGCAACTTTGATGGACAAAGAACTCACTACCAGGCAATCTTAAAGAGAAAATAGGGTAAATTCATACCCAATCCTTAGTAATTGTTCTTAAACACCTGTGCCTGACACAACTGCCTAGAATGCTGTCTAAATATGTAGTTCCAGATCTCCATACCTTGGAGATATGGTGTGTCTGGCAAGACACAGGAGTCCACATTTAACAAGCATTCCCAAGGAAATTCTAATGCATACAGTTCTGGGGAAAACCACAATTTGAGAAACCCCATTTTAGAAATAGGGAAAGGGTTTTTTTCTTGCTTTATTAATAAAGTCACAGGGATTTAAGCCAACTAGAGATTAGAACCGCCCTAGTTGCATCTACCTCCTGCAGAATCTACTACGTTGGTGGAAAGATTCATCAAAGATAAATATGTAGATATTAGGCATTACAGGAACTGGCTGAAGGAAGAAATATTGGGTTTGATGAGGATGTGATAGCCAGGGAAAGGCTGGAAAAGAGATTTCACAGGCTTGCTTGGAGAATACCCAACCAAGTGCCTGGGAATGCTGGGATGCTGCAGTCTTCTCAAATGCACATTCCAAGTGCCAGTGATCACTTCAATCGTTCAAATAACTAAACTCTTCTTTCTGAATATTTCCTTGATTGGTATCTACATTTATAGATTATAAATTCCATGACAAAGACTGAGCCAGAGAAAAATAATAATCTTCCTCAATAGAATGGCTCAGGACATCTCAAATATAAGGTTCTTCAGCTATTTGCAATCTGAATCTAAATTTAAACTTTTTTCCTTCAGTTTGCAGGTTCTCATTTACTGGATCTGTATCCCTAGTTTGCATGTAATTATGGCTTGGTTTTGCAAGTTCCACTGAGGAAAGGCCTAGAAATAAAAACAGACATGTCTGATCTGCCTAAATGTGAGCCTGGATCCAATAAGACATTTATTAGGTGCCAAAAGACCCCTCTGGGGATGGGTTTGCCGAGCTCTGCAGCCTCTCAGTCTCCATGGCTTGCAATTGTCTCTCAGCCCCAGCTGGCAGGCCTGCACTAGGAAGGAGTCAGGCAAGCAGCATCTGATTTACACAAGGAAAAAAATGTGTCAGGCAAGTTTAGGTAAAGAAAGGAGATCTCTAACTTTATTGAGTTTTTAAATAAATCATCAGAAGTATGAGGTTTCAGAAGATTTTAGGTAGTAAACAACATAGAGAAAAATAAACTTAAGCTTACTTGCTAAGCTTTTTAGAGAAATAGTCAAGTCAGTGTTTTTCTGTTCTGTTTTCTCAAACTGCTTATATGCAGTGAGTCATTGACAGCATAGAATGTATCTTCTGAGGCCATTAATACCCAAATGTGCTTCTGTGAGTGTCCATTCAGATTGCAGTGGTGTGCTTAGATGGAACCAGGCTGTAGTTTCTTCCCTTGATAATCTTTTGAGAGTTCAACCCCAAGATGTCAACCATGGTCTCTGATACGGTTTGGCTGTGTCCCGACCCAAATCTCATCTTGAATTCCCACTTGTGGTGGGAGGGACTCAGGGGGAGGTAACTGAATCATGGAGCAGATCTTTCCCGTGCTCTTCTCATGATAGTGAATAAGTCTCACAAGATCTGATGGTTTTAAAAAGAGGAGTTTCCCTGCATAAACTCTCTTCTCTTGTCTGCCACCATGTGAGATGTGCCTTTCACCTTCTGCCATGATTGTGAGGCCTCCCCAGCCACGTGGAACTTGTAAGTCCAATAAATCACTTTCTTTTGTAAATTGCCCAGTCTTGAGCATGTCTTTATCAGAGTGTGAAAATGTAATAATACAGTAAATTGGTACCAGTAGAGTGGGGCACTGCTGAAAAGATACCCAAAAATGTGGAAGTGACTTTGGAACTGGGTAACAGGCAGAGGTTAAAACAGTTTGGAGGGCTCAGAAGAAGACAGGAAAATGTGGGAAAGTTTGGAACTTCCTAGAGATTTGTTGAATGGTTTTGACAAAAATGCCATTTTTGACAAAAAAAAAAAAAAAAGTGATAAGAACAATAAGGTCCAGACTGAGGTAGGCTTAGATGGAGATGAGGAACTTGGGAACTGGAGCAAAGGTGACTCTTCATATGTTTTAGCAAACAGACTGGTGGTATTTTGCCCCTGCCCTAGAGATTTGTGGAACTTTGAACTTAAAAGACATGATTTGTGGTATCTGGTGGAAGAAATTTTTTTTTTTTTTTTGTAATGGAGTCCGGCTTTGTCTCCCAGGCTGGAGTGCAATGGCGCAATCCTGGCTCACTGCAACCTCCACCTCCCGGGTTCAAGCGATTCTCCTGCCTCAGCCTCCAGAGTAGCTGGGTTACAGGTGCCTGCTACCACACCCAGGTAATTTTTGTATTTTTTAGTAGAGATTGGGTTTCACCATGTTGGCCAGGCTGGTCTTGAACTCCTGACCTCAGGTGATCCACTCGCCTTGGCCTACCAAAGTGCTGGGATTACAGGTGTGAGCCACCACGCCCGGCCTGGTGAAAGAAATTTCTAAGCAGCAAAGTATTCAAAAGGTGACTTGGGTACTGTTAAAGGCATTCAATTTTATAAGGAAAGCAGAGCATAAAAGTTAAGAAAATTTGCAGCCTGACAATGTGATAGAAAAGAAAATCCCACTTTCTGAGGAGAAATTCAAGCCAGCTACAGAAATTTGCATAAGTAATGAGGAGCTGAATGTTAATCCCCAAGACAACGGAGAAAATGTCTCCATGACATGTCAGAGTTCTTCATGACAGCCCCTCACATCACAGGCCCAGAGGCCTAGGAGAAAAATGTGGTTTCATGGGCTGGGCCCAGGATCCCCATACTGTGTGCAGCCTAGGGACTTGGTGCCCTGCATCCCAGCCACTCTAGCTGTGGCTGAAAGGGGAAAACATAGAGCTCAGGCTGTGGCTTCAGAGGGTGTAAGCCTCAGGCATTGGTGGCTTTCACATGGTTTTGAGCCTGTGAGTGCACAGAAGTCAAGAACTGGGGTTTGGGGACCTCCACCTAGATTTCAGAAGATCTATAGAAACGCCTGGATGCCCAGGCAGAAGTTTGCTTCAGGGGCAAGGTTCTCATGGAGAACCTCTGCTAGGGCAATGCAGAAGGGAAATGTGGGTTCAGAGCCCCCACACAGAGTCCCTACTGGGGAACTGCCTAGTAGAGCAACTGTCTCCAGACCACCGTCCTCCAGACCCCAGAATGGTAGATCCACTGACAGTTTGTACCATGCACTTGGAAAAGCCACAGACACTCAATGCCAGCCCATGAAGGCAGCTCGAAGAGAGACTGTACCCTGCAAAGCCACAGGGGTGGAGCTGCCCAAGACCATTGGAAACCAGCTTTTACATCAGTGTGACCTGGATATGAGATGTGGAGTCAAAGGAGATTATTTTGGAGCTTTAAGATTTGACTGCCCCTCTGGATTTCTGACTTGCATGGGGCCTGTAGCCCCATTTGTTTTAGCCAATTTGTCCCATTTGGAATGGCTGTATTTACCCAATGTCTGTACCCCCATTGTATCTAGGAAGTAACTAACTTGCTTTTGATTTTACAGGCTCATAGGCAGAAGGCACTTGCCTTGACTCAGATGAGACGCTGGACTGTGGACTTTTGAGTTAATGCTGAAATGAGTTAAGACTTTGGGAGACTGTTGGGAAGGCATATTGGTTTTGAAATGTGAGGACATGAGATTTGGGAGGGACCAGGGCAAAATAATATGGTTTAGCTGTGTCCTCACCCAAATCTCATCTTTAATTCCCACGTGTTGTGGGAGGGATCTGGTGGGAGGTAATTGAATCATGGGAGCAGATCTTTCCTGTGCTGTTCTCATGATAGTGAATAAGTCTCACAAGACCTGATGGTTTAAAAAAGAGGAGTTTCCCTGCACAAGCTCTCTTCTCCTGTCTGCCACCATGTGAGACATGCCTTCCATCTTCTGACAGGATTGTGATGCCTCCCCAGCCATGTGGAACTGTAAGTCCAATAAACCTCTTTCCTTTGTAAATTGCCCAGTCTCAGGTATATCTTTATCAGCAGTGTGAAAATGAACTAATAATACAGTCTCTTTGTCTGCAAGCTGCATACTTTCCTGTGGGAAATGCTGCCTCTCCATCTGGTCTTTGTGGATGCTCTGCTATTTTTTCTCCTATCCCTAAGTGCTCTGCCACAAGTTCTTTGGGACAGGCACTCTAGTTGGTGAACATGTAATACCACTTCTAGCTGTCACTGTTATACTCCTCAGACTAATTTTCATCTCACTTCTGCATCTGTTGAAATACCTCAAGGTCTGTGTCAGTCATCTTTTCCAAAACCCTTTCATAAATCCCCAGCTGTTTCCCCTTCTGCTGTACTCCTATGGCACTTGGCTTATATAACTGTACTTGGCCTATGTACAAATGTCTCTGTCTGTCCCACCAGAGTGTGGATACGGGTCATTTTTGCCTTTGTTCTTTTCCAGTGATGTTATCATATCTGTCACCATACCATCACATGATAGAAACAAATATTTTGTTGAATGCATGTCTGCTGAGAATATATTTTCAAAATGTTTTTAGTTTAAAGCCCATAAGTTGTTATTAAAGTGTTTTAATAGTTTTTTATAAAAGAAATATATATCATCGCAATGAAAATTTAAATATACAGATAGTGTAAAGAAAATGAAAGTAACTTACAATTTCAGTTCCCAGAGATTACCACTACTGATATGTTAGAATGGAAGAAAGGCAAGAAGCAAGATGGCAGAATAGAAGGCCCCAGATTGTGCCCCACTATGGGAAAACCAAATTCAACAACTAGCTAGATAAAAATAGCAACTTCATAAGAATCAAAAATCAGATGAGCACTAACAGTACCTGCCTTTAACTTTATATTGCTGAGAAAGGCACTGAATAGGGTAGAAAAGACCGTATTGAATTGCTAACACCACCACCCTAATCCTCCTGTAGCGGCCACATGTCACAGAGAAATCTCTGCACTTGGGAGAGGGAGAGTGCAGCAATTGTGAGACTTTGCATGGAAATCAGTGCAGCCCTGTCACAGGGGAAAACAAAACCAGGCTGATCTCAGTGGACATCCGCCTATAGAGGAAGCATTCAGACCAGCCCTAGACAAAGGGGAGCTGCCCATTCCAGCAGTTGGAACTTAACTTCCAGCAAGCCTTGCCACCATGGGCTGAAGTGCTCTGGGGCCATAAATAAACTTAGAAGGCGGTCTGGGCCACAAGCACTTCAAGTCCTAGTGCTAAGCTGAGCTAGGAGCCAGTGGACTTAGGGGCACACAACATACTGAGACACCAGCCAGGGCAGCTAAGAGAATGCTTGCACCATCCCTCCCCCAACCCCAGGCAGTAAAACTCACAGCTCCAAAAGAGGGCCCTTCCTTCTGCTTAAGGAGAGGAGAGGGAAGAGTAAAGAGGACTTTTGTCTTGCAACTTGGATACCAGTTCAGCCACAGAAGAATAGGGTTCTGATCAGAGTCGTGAAGCTCCCATTCCAGGCCCTACCCCCCAGATTACATTTCTACATACATCATGGGCCAGAAGAGAACCAGCTACTTTGAAGAGAAGGACCCAACACAGGATCTATTACCTGCTGACTAAAGAGCCCTTGGGCCCTGAATAATAAGCAGCGATACTCAGGCAGTACACTATGGGCCTTGGGTGAGACTCTGAGACATGCTGGCATCAGGTGAGACCCAGCACATTCCCAGCCATGATGGCTATGGTGAGAGACTCCTTCTGCTTGAGAACAGTACAGGGAAAAGTAAAGGGGACTTTGAGTTCACCTCAGGTACCAGCTTGGCCACAGTGGGGCAAAGCAACAAGTAGGCTCTTGGGATCCCCAATTCCACGCCTTGGTTCTTCAATGGCATTTCTGGAACTACCAGAAATGTGGTAGTTCCACAAAGGTGAGCCCATTGCCCTAAAGGATGAGTCCCAGGCCTGGTAACATTTACCACAATACAAATGAAGAATGCTTAGGCCTTAAGGGAACATTGGTGGTGGACAGGCAATACTTGCCATAGGCTTGGGGCAGGAGAGGCTCCTCTGCCTGTGGAAAGGGGAGGGAAGAATGAGAAGTACTGGGTCTTGTGGTTTGAGAACCAGTTCAACCGTAGTAGACTAGGATACCAGGTAAACTTATAAGGCTTCTGACCCTAGTCCCTAGCTCCCAGACCGCATCTCTGTACCTGTCCAGGGCCTGAGGGATGTCAGTACCATGAAGGGAAGGACATAAGCCTGGCTGGCATTGCCAGTTTCTGATTGTAAACCACTAGGGTATTGAGGGCATTGAGCAAATATAGGCAGTCACCAGGTAGTGGCCGCCGTGGGCACTGAGTGAGACCCAGTACTGGGCTGGCTTCAGGTATGACCCAGCACAGTCTCTGTGGTGGTGACCACAGAGGTGCTTGTGTCACCGTATCCCCAGCCCCAGGCAGCTCAGCATAGAAAGAGAGACAGACTGTTTGTTTTGGAGAAAGTAAGGGAAGAGAAGAGTCTCTTCCTGGTAATCCAGAGTACTCTTCTAGATCCTATCCAAGACCACCAAGGCAATAAGTCTATGAGTCTTCAAGAAGCACAGCATTACTGCACTTGTGGTACCCCCAATGCAGACATAGTTTAGATCACAATACCCAAGTCCTTCTGAATACCTGGAAAGCCTTTCCAAGAACAGGTACAAACAAGCCTGGACAGTGAAGACTATAATAAATACCTAACTTTTTAAGGCGCAGACACTGGTGAACATCAACAAGCATCAAGACCATCCAGGAAAACACAACCTTAGCAAGCAAACTTAATAAGGAACTGGGAACCAATCCTGGAGAAACAGAGATGAGACAGATAATTCAAAATAGCTGTTTTGAGGAAACTCAAAGAAATTCCAGATAACACATAGAAGAAATTCAGAATTCTATCAGATAAATTTAACAAAGAGATTGAAATAATTTAAAGGAATCAAGCAGAAATTCTAGAGTTGGCACATGCAATTAACAGACTGAAGAATACATCAGAGTTCTCTTAATAGCAGAACTGATCCAGCAGAAAAAAGAATTAGTGACCCTGAAGACAGCTATTTGAAAATATATGGTCAGAAAACAAAAAAGTAAAAAGAATAAAAAACAATGAAGCACACCTACAATATCTAGAAAATAGCCTCAAAAAGGCAAATTTAAGAGTTATTGGCCTTGAACAGGAGGTAGGGAAATAGATAAGGGTAGAAAGTTTATTCAAAGGGATAATAACGGAGAACTTCCCAAACCTAGAGAAAGCCAGCCCAGTACTGGGTCTCACTCAGTGCCCACGGTGGCCAATACCTGGATCCTATATAAGAATAATGTGTAAGAATAAGAATTCTATGTAAGAATAAGAAGGTTATAAAAAACTGATATGGTTTTGATCTGTGTCCCCACCAAATCTCATGTAAAATTTTAATCCCCAGTGTTGGAGATGGGGCCTAGTGGGAGGTGACTGGATCACGGGGGCAGAGTTCTCATGAATGGTTTAGCACCCTCCCCCCTGGTACTGTGTAGTGAGTGAGTTCTCAAGAGATCTGGTTGTTTAAAAGTGTGTGGCACCTCTCCAACTCTCTCGGTCTTGTTTCTGCCATGTAAGATGCTTGCTTCCACTTTGCCTTCTGCCATGAGTAAAAGCTCCCTGAGGCCTCCCCAGAAGGAGAAGCCACTATGCTTTCTGTACAGTATGCAGAACCATGAACCAATTAAACCTCTTTTCTTTATAAATTACCCAGTCTCAGGTATTTCTTTGTAGCAGTGTGAGAATGGACTAATATAAACACCAAGTAGATTTAACCCAAAGAGATTACCTCAAGGCATTTAATAATCAAACTCCCAAAGGTCAATAAAAAAGAAAAGATCCTAAAAGCAGCAAGAGAAAAGAAGCAAATAACATAAAATGGAGCTCCAATATGTCTGGCAGCAGACGTTCCAGTGGAAACCTTACAGGCCAGAAGAGAGCAGCATGACATATTTAAATTACTGAAGAAAAAATACTTTTATCCTAGGATAGTGTATCTGGTAAAAATATCCTTCAAACATGAAGGACAAATAAAGACTTCCCCAGATAAACAAAAGCCAAGGGATTTCACCAACACCAGACCTGTCCTACAAGAAGTGCTAAAGGGAGCACTTCAATCAGAAAGAAAAGGATGTTAGTGAGTAACACGACATCATCTGAAGGTACAAAACTCACTGGTATTAGTAACTACATAGAAAAACACAGAATATTGTAACACTGTAACTGTGGTATATAAACTACTCTTTTTCTAAATAGAAAGAGTACAAGATGAACCAATCACAAATCATAACTACAACAACTTTTCAAGACATGAAATATAAAATAAGATATAAATAGAACCAACAAAAAGTTAAAAAGCAGGGGGACAAAGTTAAAGTGTAGTTTTTATTCATTTTCTTTTTGCTACTTTGTTCATGCAAGTAGTGTTACATTCTTATCAGCTTTAAATAATAAGTTATAAGAGTATTTGCAAGCCTCATGGTAATCTCATCAGAAAACATACACAGGATATATAAAAAGCAATAAATGAAATCATACCTCCAGAGAAAATCACCTTCACTGAAGGAAAGATAAGAAGGAAGTAAAGAAGGAAAAGAAGACCACAAAACAACCAGAAAACAAATAATAAAATGGCAGAAGTAAGTCCTTAATAATAATAACATTGGATGAAAATAGACTAAACTCACCAATCAAAAGACATAGAGTGGCTGAATGGATTATTTTAAAAAAACAAAAAGACTTAACAATCTGTTGCCTACAAAAAACACACTTCACCTATAAAGATGCAGATAGAATGAAAATAAAGGGATAGAAAAAGATATTCTATGTTAATGGAAACCAAAAAAAGTGCAAGAGTAGTTATATTTATATCAGACAAAATAGATTTCAGAACAAGAACTATAAGAAGAGACAAGGAAGGTCATTACATAATGATAAAGGGATAAATTCAGCAAGAGAATATGGCAATCATAAATATATATGCATCCAACACTGGAGCACCCAGATATATAAAGCAAACATTATTAGAGCTAAAGAGACAGATCCCAGTGTAATCATAGCTGGAGACTTTAGCACTCAACTTCCAGCACTGATAGATCTTCCTGACAGAAAATCAACAAAGAAACATTGAACTGAATCTACACCATGGACCAAATTGACCTAATAGATATTTACAGAATATTCCATCCACTGGCTACAGAATGTACATTCTTCTCAGCACATGGATCATTGTCAAGGATAGACCATATGTTAGGTCACCAAACAAGTATTAAAACATTCCAAAATATTGAAACAGTAAGTATCTTCTCTGACCGCAGTGGAACAAAACTAGAAATCAATAACAAGAGACATTTTGGAAACCCTACAAACACATGAAAATTAAATAATATGCTGCTAAATGATCAGTGAGTTAATGAAGAAATTAAGAAGGAAATTGAGACATTTCTTAAAACAAATGATAATTAAAATATAATATGCCAAACCTATGGGATACTGTGAAAGCTGTATTAAGAGGAAAGTTTATAGCTATAAGCACCCACATCAAAACAGTAGACAAACCTCAAACACAACCAAATTATGCATCTTACAAAACTAGAAAAACAAGAGCAAACCAAACCCCAAATTAGTAGAAGAGAAATAATAAAGATCAGAGCAGAAATAAATGAAATGGAAATGAAGAAAATAATACAAATGAAACAAAAAGTTAGTTTTTGGAAAAGGTAAACAAAACTGACATACCTTTAGCCAGACTAAGAAAGAAAGAGGGAAGACCCAAATAAATAAAATCAGAGATAAAAAGGGAGACATTACAAACAATACTGCAGATATTCAAAGGATCATTAGTGGTTACTAGGAGCAACTATATGCCAATAAATTGGAAAAATCTAGAGGAACTGGATAAATTCCCAGACACATACAAGCTACCAAGATTGAACCATGAAGAAATCCAAAGCCTGAATAGGCCAATAACAAATAATGAAATCAAAGCCATAATAAAAATTCTTACAGCAAACAAAATCCAGGGACCCAATGGCTTCACTGTTAAACTCTATCAAACATTTAAAAAAGAATACCAATCCTACTCAACCTATTCTAAAAAATAGAGGATGACGGAATACTTCCAGTTTCATTTTATGAGGCCATTATTACCCTGATATGAAAACCAGACAAAGATACAGCAAAAAAAAAAAAAAAGAAAAAGAAAACTATAGGCCAATATCACCAATGAATATTGATGCAAAAATCCTCAACAAAATAATGGCAAACTGAATTGAACAGATTAAAGAGCTCATTCACCATGACAAAGTGGGATTTATCCCAGAGATAATAGAATGGTTCAACATACACAAATCGATCAATATAGTATATCATATCAACAGAATGAAGGACAAAAACAATATGATCATTTCAACTGATGCTGAAAAAGCATTTGATAATGTTCAACATCCCTTCATAATAAAAACCATCAAAAAATGGGGATAGAAGGAACATACCCTGACTTTTTCAACCAGGGGATTATGGCAGACAGGAGGCAGGACTACATTGCAGCTCTGACTCGGATGGACAGAGCAGCATGTGGAGGCTCATCATGAGCTTTTGCTCCAGAGCAACTGCAGGAATAAATCAGGACACCTGAGAGGACCCACAGACACCCCTGAAGGAAGCAGATTGCTCCTGCAGGACCCGGGAAACAACACAAATACTGTGGAAGTGGGAAAGGGAGATTGTCCACCCCGGAACACACACCCCCACTGGGGAAACTGAAGGCCCACATTGCAGGAGAAGATTTTGACCTTACCTGGAGCTGAGTCAATTTAGAGAGCTGAGTGAAATACAGGGTAGAGGAAGCAGCAGGAAAAGCCCTGGGAGCTCACTGGGTCTCCTAGCAAGTCTTTTTTGCCTGGCCTCACAGGGGTCCTTCAGGAGGGCGACCAGAGATGCCGGGAAAAGCCACAGGAGAAGAAAACCTCCAGCTGAACTTTGTAACAATTTGAGCTGATTGAGAACACTCCTGGCCAGAACTCAGGGAAGGGCGTGAATCCGGTGTGCAGTCTCCACAGGTGGGGGAAGAAGGAAAGCCATATTTGCTTTCACAGCTGGGAAGCAGATTGCCTGGGGAAAGTTCTCAGCCCTGCTTACCCACTGCCTGGAAACAGACTCAGTGCTGTTGGGTCCGGGGGCACATTGGGAGTGAGAACGGCCCTTTGGATTGCATGGAAGCTGGGTGAGATCTGTGACTCCTGGCTTTCCCTCACTTCCCTGACAACCTGCATGACACAGTAGAAACCGGCATAATCCTCCTAGGAACATAACTCCATTGACCTGAGAAACTCACCCCCATCCTCACAGCAACTGCAACAAGACCCACCCAAGGAGAGTCTGAGCTCAGACAAGCCTAGCCCTGCCCCCACCCAATGGTCCTTTCCTACCCACCCTGGTAACTGAAGACAAAGGGCATATACTCTTGGGAGTTCTAGGGGCCCACCCACCATCTGTTCCTCCCCATACTACCACAGCTGATGCTCTCTGGAAAGTGCCACCTCCTGGCAGGAGGCCAACCAGCACAAAAATAGTGCATTAAACCGCCAAAGCTAGGAACCCTCACCGAGTTCATTTCACTCAGCTGCCACCTCCACCAGCACAGGTGATGGTATCCACGGCTGAGAGACCCACAGATGGTTCACATCACAGGACTCTGTGCAGACAACCCCCAGTACCAGCCCAGAGGCTGGTAGACTTGCTGTGTGGCTTGTCAAGAAGACAGATAATAATCACTACAGCTCCAGCTCAGATCTCAGGAAGCCACAACCATAGGAAAAGGGAGGAGAGTACTACATCAAGGGAACACCCTGTGGGACAAAAGAATCTGAACAACAGCCTTCAGCCCTCGACCTTCCCTCTGACAGAGACTGCCCAAATGAGAAGGAACCAGAAAACCAACTCTGGTAATATGATAAAACAAGGTTAATACCCCCCAAAAAAATCACACTAGCTCATGAGCAATGACCCCAAATCAAGAAGAAATCCCTGATTTACCTGAAAAAGAAATCAGGAGGTTTGTTATTAAGCTATTCAGGGAGGCACCAGAGAAAGGTGAAGCCCAATGTAAGGAAATTAAAAAAAAAAAGATACAAGAAGTGAAAGGAGAAATAGTTAAGGAAATAGCATAAATAAAAAACAATCAAAACTTCAAGAAACAATGGACACACTTATAAAATGCAAAATGCTCTGGAAAGTGTCAGCAATAGAATTGAACAAGCAGAAGAAAGAAATTCAGACCTCAAAGACACGGTCTTTGAATTAACCCAATCCAACAAAGACAAAGAATAAGAAAATATGAACTAAGCCTCCAAGAAGTCTGGGATTATGTTAAACGACCAAACCTAAGAATAATCAGTGTTCCTGAGGAAGAAGAGAAATCTAAAAGTTTGAAAAACGTATTTGGGGAATAATCGAGGAAAATTTATCTGGCCTTGCTAGAGACCTAGACATTCAAATACAAGAAGCACAAAGAACATCTGGGAAATTCATCACAAAAAGATCATTGCCTAGGCACACTGTCATCAGATTATCTAAAGTTAAAGGGAGGAAAGAATTTTAAGAGCTATGAGACAAAAGCACCAGGTAACCTATAAAAGAAAACCTATCAGAACTAAAAGAATTAAAAGTAGAACTGCCGTTTGATCCAGCAATCCACTACTGGATATCTACCCAGAGGAAAATAAGTCATCATACAAAAAAGATACTTGCACATGCATGTTTATCGTGGCACAATTCACAACTGCAAAAATGTAGAACCAACCAAATGCCTATCAATCAATGAGCAGGTAAACTGTGGTATAAATATGATGGATTACTACTCAGCCATAAAAGGGAATGAATTAATGGCATTCACAGCGACCTGGATGAGATTGGAAACTATTATTCTAATTGAAGTAACTCAGGAATGGAAAACCAAACACCATATGTTCTCATTCATAAGTGAGAGCTAAGCTATGAGGATGCAAAGGAAAAAGAATGACACAATGGACTTTGGGGATTCAGGGGGAAAGGGTGAGAAGAGGGTGAGGGATAAAAGACTACAAATAAGGTACAGTGTATACTGCTTGGGTGACAGGTGCACCAAAATTTCACAAATCACTACTAAAGAACTTACTCATGTAACCAAACACCACCTGTTCCCCAGTAACGTATGGAAATAAAAAATTTTTAAAAAGGAAGGAACATACCTCAACATAATAAAAGCCATATATAACTGACCCACAGCTAGTATCATACTGAGTGGGAGAAAACTGAAAGCCTTTCTTCTTAGATCTGGAAGAGGACAAAGTTGCCTGCTTTCATCATGGTTATTCAACATAGTACTGGAAGTTCTAGCTAGAGCAATCAGACAAGAGAAGGAAATAAAGGGCATCCAAATTGGAAAGAAAGATGTCAAATTATCCTTGTTTGCAGATAACATGATTTTGTATTTGAAAAAAAAAAACTAAAGACTCCACCAAAAAACTATTAGAACTGATCAACAAATTCAGTAAAATTTCAGGATACAAAATCAACATACAAAAATTGGTAGCATTTCTATATGCTGACAGCAAACAATCTGAAAAAGAAATCAAAGAAGTAATGTCATTTATAAAACTACAAATAAAATAAAATATTGAAGAATTAACCAAACAAATGAAGGATCACTGCAATGAAAATTACAGAACACTGATGAAAGAAATTGAAGAGGACACACACAAAAAATGGAAAGATATTCTATGTTCATTGACTAGAAGAATCAATATTGTTAAAATGTCCATGCTACCCAAAACAATCTAAAGATTCAATGCAATCTCTATCAAAATATAAATGGCATTCTTCACAGAAATAGAAAAAACAATTCTAAAATTTCTATGGCATGACAAAAGACCTAGAATAGCCAAAGCTATCCTAAGGAAAAAGAACAAAACTGGAGGAGTCATATTACCTGACTTCAAATTATATTAGAGAGCTATAGTTACCAAAATGGCATGGTACTAGCATTAAAACAGACACATAGACAAATGGAACAAAAGAGAGAACCCTGAAATAAATCCATACATCTAGTGAACTCATTTTTGACAAAGGTGCTAAGAACATACATTGAGGAATATGTCTCAATAAATATTGCTGGGAAAAAATGGATATCCATATGCAGAAGAATAAAACTATACCTTTATCTCTCACCATATACAAAAATCAAACCAAAATGGGTTAAATACTTAAATCTAAGACCTCAGGCTATGAAACGACTGCAAGAAAACATTGGGGAAACTCCCTGGGACATTTAAGTGGGCAAAGATTTCTTGAGGAATACCATACAAGTACAGGCAACCAAAGCAAAAATGGACAAATGGAATCACATCAAGTTAGAAACCTTCTGCACAGCAAAGTTTGAAACAAAGCGAAGAATGAACCCACACAATGGGAGAAAATATTTGTGAATTACCTATCTGACAAGAGATTAATAACCAGATTATATAATGAGCTCAAACAACTCTATAGGAAAACTTTTAAAATGGGCAAGAAATCTGAATAGACACTTCTCAAAAGAAGACACACAAATGGAAAATGGGTATATGAAAAGGTGCTCCACATCATTGCTCATCAGAGAAATGCAAATCAAATCTACAATATCATCTCACCCCATTTAAGATGGGCTTTATCCAAAAGACAGGCAATAACAAATGCTGGTGAGGATGTAAAGAAAAGGGAATCCTTGTACACTGTTGGTGGGAATGTAAAGTATTACAATCACTATGGAGAACAGTTTGGAGGTTCCTCAAAAAACTAAAAATGGAGCTGTCTTATGATCCAGCAATCCCAGTCCTAGGTATGTACCCAAAAAAAGGAAATCAGTATATTGAAGAGATATCTGCACTCTTTATTGAGTTTATGGCAGCACTATTCACAATAGCCATTATTTGGAAGTAATCTAAACATCCATCAACAGATGAAGGAATAAAGAAAATGTGGCACATATACACAATGGAGTATTCAGCCATAAAAAGAATGAGAACCTGTCATTTTCAACAACATAGATGAAACTGGAGGTCATTATGTTAAGTGAAATAAGCCAGGCACAGAAAGACAAAATTCACATGTTCTCACTTATTTGTGAGAGCTAAAAATTAAAATAATTGAACCCATGGAGATAGAGAGTGTTAAGGATGGTTACTATCCTGCGAAGGGTAGTGGGTTGGTGGCAGGGAAGTGGAGATGGGTAATGGGTTTAAATAATAGAAAGAATGAATAAGACCTAGCATTTGCCAGCACAACAGGTTTACTATAGTCAAAAATAATTTAATTGTACATTTTTAATAGGTAAGCGGTATAATTAGACTGTAACATGAAAGGATAAATGCTTGAGGTGATGGATACCACATTTGCCCTGATGTGATTACTATGCATTGTATGCCTATATCAAAATATCTCATGTAACCCATAAATATATACATCTACTGTATACCCACAAAAATTAAAAATTAATTAAAAAAATATGTTGGTGTGTGTCCAGACAGTTTTCTGGAAAATTTTTTATGCCCTAGGTGTATATGCTACATTAATATTTTGAATGTACTCTAATTAGCCAGTCATAGATAAGAATGTCTCTGTCAACCAAGATTAAATCTGGTCTTCTTAGAATGTTCTTTCTTAATCTATTCTCTCTCTGCAATGATTTGTCTGTAAACAACCTATGTGGCAATCCATTAGTGTACCAGTGGGACTGTTGAAGATGCCTGGTTTCTTATAATTACTTCTTTGGTCATCATAAGGCAGTAAAAATTACTACCTGTAGGAAGCTGCATTACATTAAGTCTAAAGGATAAGTAGGCATTTGTCCAGGGGTGATGTGTATTTGTTTGGTTGATTTTTTATTCATCCATTAGAATTTTCTTTCCTAGAAAATTACTTCTTCAGTACCTGTTAAGGGAATCCTGATAATATTCTGATAATATGAGAGTTTCACTGGCCTGCTTAATGAAGCAATAGAGCACTGCTAGGTTGCTCATGAAACTTGTCAGTTAAACCCTGGGGTGAGTGTTCAAGCTGCTGTTCGGGTATAACCTACTTCCTTTGTCATTAACCTGCCCCAACAGCTCCATCCTGCACAGCTCGCTGTTCTCCAGTTGCAGTCACTCAACATGATGTCCTGGAAGAAGATCTAATCAATTTTTAAATCAACATTACATCTAAAGATGGTTCATATGTGAACTGTTTTTAAGTTGCAGAACTTCTGTCTTCAATGATCCCTCTCACTCTCCAAAATTCCCCCTTTATTTGTTTGTTTCTTTGTTTATTGAGACAGGGTCTCCCTCTGTTGTCCAAGATGGAGTGCACTGGCACAATCATAGATTATAACTCTTTGCAGCCTCGAACTCCTGGACTCCAGCAATTCTCCCACCTTAACCTCTTGAGCAGCTAGGACTACAGACACACACCACAATGACCAGCTAATTTTTTGTAGAGATGAAGTCTCACTCTGTCTCCCAGGTGGTCTCAAACTCCTAGTCTCAAGTGAGCCTCCTGCCTTGGCCTTCCAACGTGCTGGGATCACAGGTGTGAGCCACTGTGCCCAGCCCTTAATTATTTTCAAAAGATTCTGTAGAAGGTCTTAGGTAAGGGCAGAGCCACGTCCTTTCACCTAATGTATGTCACCCGTGTTTTTCACACCTCTGCTCCTCTGCCTTCCTCATCTGAACACCATTTTGTCCATGAGTCTCTTGGTTCTACTGTACTGGAAGTTGCTCAGCAGGCACTGCCACTGCCCAGACCCTGGAGGGCCTGATGGTGTCCAGCTTCAAAGGCACCTGGGAGGCCCTGGGAGAATAGTCTGTCTGCCCAGTCTAGTTTATAATCTGCTGATGCTAAAAACAAATACTTCCTTGGTTTTACATTTAGCCCCCTGCTGGCTATAGAATTCAGATAATTCTGGGAAGTAGACTCTACTGCGCTCAGAGTCCTGCCCCCCATCTGAATTCCAAGGCTTCTTACTGGGCTGACCTCACTGATTGCCTTTCTTCTCACACATTGAATCTCCTCCATGTTAAACCCACCAGTTTTTAGACATGCATAGATGTGTTTGAAACTTAGTCTTGGAAATTGCTTGAGCTCAAGCTGGGAATCTTCCTACTTCATGAACAGAAACTGAAAATACCATCAGATGTCAATTTAGCCTCTTCACTCAAAACAGCTAGTTTTGAGGAGGCCAGGAGCCCTCCTAAGGACCTTCAACTCGGTATGGTACTGTTCAGACTCCCCACTCCACAACCTCTCTACTGAGGTAGGTCAGAAGTCTAACATGAGTCTCACTTGGCTAAAGATTTGTCAGTGACTGCATTCCTTTTTGGAAGGTCTAGAAGAAAATAGGTCCCCTTCCCTTTTCCAGCTTCTAGAGCCTGTCCACATTCCTTGGCTTGTGGCCATCTTTCTCCATCTTCAAAACTGGGAATATGAAACACCTTTCTCATTTTTCTTACATGGTCACATCTCCCTCTGACCCAGCCAGGAATGTTTCTTCATTTTTAAGGACTTATATTTAAATTGGACCCACATGAATAACACAGGATACTCTACTCTTCTCATCTTAAGATATTTGTTCTTAATTAAAAATCCAAATTCTCTTTTGTCATGTAAGTTGACAAAATCACAGGCTCTGGGGATTAGGATGTGGATTTTTTTCAGGAGATGGAGAGATGTAATTCTGGCTACTACACCAAGTCTTCAGGAGAAAGTTCCCAGAGTAGCCTTCTCTTAATAACGAAGCCAGTATTTGCTTGAACTCTATCTATGTGCCTGGAACTGTGTTAAATGTCCTACCTACATCAACTAATTCAAGCCTCAGATATGAAGTTGATAACAATATGTCATAGAAAGTAAGCTGGTAGTTTCAGAAATTGCCCTAAGTCATGCAGTTAAAGCCAAGAGTTGGACCCCGGTCAAGCTGTTGCCATAGCATTGTGACTCCTCAACTGTGCTAAAATTGACTGCATAACATATCCCTAACTTGAGCAGAAAAAGTAGGCACTTGCATTTCTATTCATGCAGTATGATGTTAATTTTATGTGTCAACTTGACTGGCCCACAAGATGCCCAGATGTCTGGTTAAACATTATTTCTGGGTGTTCGAGAATGCATTCCCAGAAGGGATTAGTATTTGAATTGGTGAAGTGAGTAAAACATGTGGCTTTCCTCAATGTGGATAGGCATTAACCAATCCACTGAGGGCCTGAATAGGACAAAAAAACAACAGACAAAGGTTGAAGTTATTCTCAGCCTGACTGCTCAAGCTAGGACATCAATCTTCCCCTGCCATCCATGTTCCTGGTTCTCAAGCCTTTAGACACAGACTGGAATCTACATCATTGGTTCTCTGGCTCTCAGGCCTTCGTACACCACTGCTTTCCTAAATCTCCAGCTTGCAGACAGCAGATCGTGGGACTTCTCAACCTCCATAATCACATGAGCCAATAACTTATAATAAATATCTCTCTTGATAGACGTATATATCTATACAGATATATATATAGATAGATAGATAGATCCTATTGGCTCTGCTTCTCTGGAGAACCCCGAGTAGATTTTAGTACTAAGAATGATTCCAGAGAAAGAGAATTTTAAGAATGAGCTGCCTAAATTGGTTTTGGGTTTGGCTCTCTAATATGATTAGATTTAAAGACACTAATGACTCTATTTCCAATAGTAAAGAGTGCACTCATAGTCCATGGCATGAATTATAATAGAGACATAAAAAATATATGCATTGGATACCCAAAAAACTACTTATAAGAGATATAAGAGACAAGAAACTGGGTATGGTACTTTTGAACATTTTTAGAAAATAAACAAATATAATGACCTTGTTTGGTTGCTCCTAAGGTCACTAGACAAAGTGATGAAAGGATGGGATGAGCTCAGGGATTCAATTTCCCAGTTGAAGTGCTGTATGAATGACCTAAAGGCTTCTATGGGTGACCTGGAGGAAAGCCTTATCTTCTGTAGCTGCAGGGTTGAGATTGCTGAAAGTCAAATGCAAAATCTCATCCAGTGACTGCCTGAATTTCAATGTAAGTTGAACTCCCAACCTCACAGGCTGTCTACTGTTAAAGTGAAAGCACTGATTGGGAAAAGTATGGGATTCTATAAGTATGGATGGAGACATGAAGGAAGAACCCAGTAAAGCTTGGGACATTGAGCTCCTAAATTCTGATGAGTCTTCTTTGCCAGAGAAAGTAGTCTCCCCACCCCTAGTGGTATCTCCTGTATAAGCAGATTGGATTAACTGTACATTTCCTGAGAAAACAGTATGACTTCCCCTGAGGCAGTTGCCATGTAAGACAATGCTGATTCCCCTCAAGACCCATCCACATCACTTTTATTTGCTTCTGGACCTACAACTAGACTCAAATGCCAGCAGGTCTCTAAAGATGAGATACAAAGTATGACCCATAAGAAAGCACAGTAGACTTCAAAATAACTATTTGATTTTTCTAATATTTACAGACAGAAATTAGAGGAACATGTGTGAGAATGGATATTAACAGTGTGGAATTATGGTTGAAGGAAGATAAAGTTGGATTAGGCTGAATTTATTGATATGAGCACACTATACAGACGTTCTACATATAATATTGCAGCACAGAAAGTTAAAAAGGGGCTCTAACAGTTTGGTCAGTTGGTTGTATAAAACATGGAACGAAAGATGACTGATTTGGAAATGCCAGACATGTAATGCAGAGGAAGGGATTAAAAGCTTAGAGAGATTGGAATGTTAGAGTGAATTTGTCATTAAAGACTTACGCACCCACACTAGGAGAATCCAGAAGACATACTTTTCACCACAACTGTGAGAAATAAATTTGTGAGAGGAGTCCAACATCCTTGAAGAGCCCTGTGATCGCTCTTCTCTGTAGGCCAGACTTTACAGTGGGGACTGTAGCCACTGGATTGGGAAACCTAAGTGCTATGGGAGTAATTAGATCCTGGGGTTGCAGGGGCCAAGTGGCAGCACTCAATCACCAAAGGCAAGATGGACATGGTTACATGTCCAGGTAATGGACAACAGAGTCAAGGCAACAATCAGGATAGTCTATACATGCAGACCTATGACATTGGCAGGTTTATCACAGACTTCCTAGAAATGAAATAGACAGAAACTCTAGTGAATTATTACTTGATGTGAAAAAAATTCTAACCTGAATTACAGAAACAGAGCCACAGCTCCTCAATCAATTCCCAGGGTTGAGCCAGTTTACAAACCCAGGGCCTCCTAGAAAGAAGGGGAGTCTGAGTCCCCTTGAAGAAGCATCCAGGTCACTACCAAAAATTTATACTATTAATCTTTCTCTCAGACTTCCACAAAGGAACCACTGACCTTTAACCAGGGTAACTGTAAATTGAGGAAAAGGAAATAATCAGAGCTTTGGAAAATTACTTGATACTGGCTCTGAACTGACACTAATTCCAGGAGACCCAAAATATGGCTCACCAGTCACAGTAGGGGCTTATGGAGGTCAGGTAGGTGATCAATGGAGTTTTCACTCAGGTTAATCTCACAGTGGGCCTATTGGGTCCCTGAATCCACCCTGTGGTTATTTCCTCAATTCCGGAATGCATAATTGGAATAGATATACTCAGCAACTAACAGAATCTTCACATTTGTTCCCTGACCTGTAGAGTGAGAACTACTATAGTGGAAAAGGCCAAGTGAAAGCCAGTAGAACTGCCTCTACCCAGAAAAATAGCCAAAAACAATACTGCATTCTTGGAGGGATTTCAGAAATTAGTGCTACCATCAAGGACTTGAAGGATGCAGGGGTGGTGATTCCCTCTGCATCCCCAATTCAATGTGTATATTTGGCCCATGCAGGATCTTGGAGGATGACAGTGGATTATTGTAAGCTTAACAAAGTGTTGACTTCAATTGTAGTTTTGTACCACATTGCAGATGTGGTTTCATTACTTGAACAAATTGACTCATCCCCTCGTACCTGGTATGTAGCTATTGATATGGAAAATCACTTTTTCTCCATATCTGTCCATAAGGCCCACCAAAATTATTGGTTTGAGCTTACAAGGCCAGCAGTACACTTCACCATCCTCCCTCAGCCCTTTTCAGCCCTATGCCATAATTTAGTTTGCAAGGATCTTTATTGCCTTTCCCTTCCACAATATATCACACTCATCCATTACATTGATGACATTATGTTGATGGACATAGTGAGTGAGAAGTAGTAACTGCTCTAGACTTATTGATCCGTTATTCATGTGCCAGAAGGTGTAAAATAAATCTAACAAAACTTCAGGGCATTTTACCTCAGGGAAATTTTTAGGGGTCCAGTAGTATGGGGCATGTCAAGGTATCTCTTCTAAGGTAGAGGATAAATTATTAAATCTGGCTCCTCCTATAACCGAAAACAAAAACAAAAACAAAAAAGAGTCACAATGCCTAGCGGGCTTCTTTGGATTTTGGAGGCAATGTGTTCCTTATTTGAGTGTGTTACTAGGGCTACTTACCGAGTACTGACCTGAAAAGCTACTCATTTAAAGTGGTGCCCAAAACAAAAGAAGGCTCTGCAGCAGGTCCAGGCTGCTGTACAAGCTGCCCTGCCACTTGATCCAGCAGATCCAATGGTACTTGAGCTGTCAGTGGCAAACAGGGATTCTGTTTGGAGCTTTTAGCAGCCCCTGTAGATGAATCACAGTACTGGCTGTTAGGATTTTGGAGTGAAGATTGCCATCTTCT
Organism: Homo sapiens; assembly: GCF_000001405.40. NCBI lineage: Eukaryota > Metazoa > Chordata > Mammalia > Primates > Hominidae > Homo > Homo sapiens. The sequence continues at coordinate 96,704,809 of NC_000006.12, forward strand.
GCAGATAACTACTCTCTTTTGAGAAACAACAGGTGGCCTGCTACCAGGCCTTAGTAGAGACTGAATGCTTAACCATAAGCCATGAAATTACCATGTGACCTGAGCTGTCTATCATGAACTGAGTGTTATCTGACTCATCAAGCCATAACGTCAGCATGCACAGCAACACCCCATCATCAAATGGAAGTGGTATACATGTCATCGAGTCTGAGCAGGCCCTAAAAGCACAAGTAAGTTACAAGATGTGACCCAAATCCTCCAGGTTTGGTAGCCCATCCTCTCTGGTTAGTACCTCTCTTCTGGACCCACATAGGGTGCCTCTACTCTAGTGCCTCTACTCTAGTGTCACTCAGAAGAATTTTAACAGTTCTTTCACACCAAGGACATAGGGCCTTAACTGTGACTTATTTCAGGTACCAAAGGATTGTTTGATCATTGTAAAGAAAGATTTTCATTTTCACTGAGGGCAATCTTTGTTGAAGGGAAGAAAATAAGCACTTTTGCTTTCCCCATGTGATATGGTTTGGCTCTGTGTCCCCACCCAAATCTCATCTCAGACTGTAATCCCCATGTGTCAAGGGAGGGAACTGTTGGGAGGTGATTGGATTATGGGGGCAGTTTCCTCCATGCTGTCCTCATGATAGAGAGGGAGTTCTCATGACATCTGATGGTTTTAAAAATAGCAGTTTCCCCTGTGCTCATTCTCTCCTGCTGCTATGTAAGGCATGCCCTATATCCCCTTTGCCTTTTGCCATGACTATAAGTTTCCTGAGGTCTCCTCAGCCATGTGGAACTGTGAGTCAATTAAACCTCTTTCCTTTATAAATTACCCAGTCCCAGATATTTCTTTTTTTTTTTCTTTTCTTTTTTTTTTTTGAGAGAGTCTTGCTCTGGTGCTAGGCTAGAGTGCAGTGGTGTGATCTCAGCTCACCACAACCTCCTCCTCCTGGGTTCAAGCAATTCTCCTGCCTCAGCCTCCCGAGTAGCTGGGACTACAGACGCGCACCACCACGCCCGACTAATTTTTTTATATTTTAGTAGAGACAGGGTTTCACCATGTTGGCCAGGATGGTCTCGATCTCCTGACCTCGTGATCCACCCACCTCAGGCGTGAGCCACCGCACCCAGCCCCAGGTATTTCTTTATAGCAGTGTGAGAACGGACTAATACACCGTGGTATACCACACAATCACTCATTTGAAAGATGTTTACATTCCTCTCTTTGTTGTATTCTGTAGTGTCCTACAATATAATATTCTTATACAAGTGTGCTACTTAAGACCAGCCCTCTGTTGAAATTAGTGAATGGGTAAAGATTAGTAAGAGGCTAAGGGATAAGATCCAGGCAGCTGGTAGCAGCTGGGATGTTGTAATTTAACACAACTCACCGGCTTTCTTGCTATGGAGAAGATGCAGTAGTCAGAACATTGCAGGTGCCTATTGAATATTAAATAATCGTAATTTGTGATTTTTAAAAATTTGGTTGTAACAGACTATAGTTGAATATGAAATATCCTGTAGAAGGACAATGAAGATCATTAATGTTAGGAAAGATATATGCTTTGTAACTAAACTACCAAAATAAGAATAATTACCTCTTACAAAAAGAGTAATGTAAATAAATTTATGGAAGCCAGAAAAATATATTCTTTTTTTCTATTATACCATTTTATAACTTCCCAAAGACCTGATTAATATTCCATAATTAAAAGTGAAAGAAACATAAAAAATGATTTTTTTAAATACCATGGGCTTTTTGAATGCATTAAAGCAATTAAGCGTATTTAAAGTAAATAGAGCTAAAGAATAAAATTAGTGAGTTTGGGGTCAAGAAATGAAGGAATTGGATCACTTAGATACTGATGACAATGAGTCTTGTCAACTTGCAACACAGACAGTTATTATTAATATCATTACACTTGATCTTGCCAAAAAAACCAAGAAGCAATTGTTAATATCATTAAATATGAAAAGTACTGTTATTCCTATTATAGTTCTAATACTAATAGCTCTTTATTAACCAGTATATGAGATTTTGCCATGTCAAAGTTACTTATTCAATCTTAAGAGCCTTATAAAGTAATAAACAATCATTTTTTATTATTTAGTCTTTAGGGAATTTTTAGAAGTATGCTTCTAAAATTTTGAAAATAAAGAAACAACAAAAAATACCAATAGTACTTACTACTCCAATAAAATCACTATTAATACTTTCATGTATTTCCTTTTACTCTTTTTTCCTATGCAGTTTTACACAGACACAATTCCAATATAGAAATATACATATACATAACCTGCATTTTCTGTTTCTGCCAAAAACAGTTTTCCACATTTCTTATCTTAATAATCAGCTTTTATAATTGTGTAATAGTCTAACAAGAGATTATACAATTTTTGACTTAATAATTAGCTCATTTTCAGATTTTTGCTATTAATATTATAAGACATTTGAATGCCTAAGAGCACAACCTAATGTTTAGTAGCAATATCAAATTTGTTTCTATCACTAATTAGCTGCATGGTATTAAATATAATAATGTTTCTCCAACACCTCACACAGAAAGACACATGGTAAGTGCTCAATTACTGTTTGTTGAATAAATGAATGGACCTTGGTTATGGACTGAATTGTGTGTTCATGCACACACATGCAAAATATCATATGTTGAAGTCCTAACCCTTAGTAGCTCAGAACGTGATTGTATTTGAAGATATGATGTTTAAAGAGGTAATCAAGGTTAACTGATGTCATTGGAGTGAGCCCTAATCCAGTATGACCCATGTCCTCATTAGAAGGGGGTATTAGGACACAAACATGCATACAGGAAATTCTGCCAGCAGACTGTCAGAATTAAACAAGAACTGCAACTCTTTTCTGGGTCTCCAGCCTGCCAGCCTAGCCTACAGATTTTGGACTTGCTAGCCTTACAATCATGTCAGCTGATTTCTTAAAATAAATTCTCTCTCTCTGTCTCTCTCTCTGTCTCTCTCTCTCTCTCTCTCTCTTTCTGCGTGTGTGTGTATGTGTGTGTGTGTTAGTGCCATCATGGTGCCTACTTTATTTATATTAAGTAGTAGCACTTGCAGGTCCTCAGCACAGTGTGTGAATCTCAGTAGATACCACTCATCACTATAAATACTACTGCAATGGGCAAGTTCATTCATTTAAGTTTTTCTAAAATTTATACTAAATTTTTTGACAGATTGCTGGCCATTTTATATATATATATATATATATATATATATATATATATATATATATATAGAGAGAGAGAGAGAGAGAGAGAGAGAGAGAGAGAGAGAGAGAGGGAGAGAGCGAGAGAGACGGAGTCTTACTCTGTCCTCTGTCTCCCAGGCTGGAGTGCAGTGGGGTGATCTCAGCTCACTGCAACCTCCGCCTCCCTGGTTCAAGTGATTCTCATTCCTTAGCCTCCCAAGTAGCTGGGACTATAGGCACGTGCCACCATGCCCAGTTAATTTCTTGTATTTTTAGTACAGACGGGGTTTCAGCATGTTGGCCAGGCTTGTCTCAAACTCCTGACCTCAGGTGATCCACCCGCCTCAGCCTCCCAAAGTGCTGGGATTACAGGCGTGAGCCACTACACCTAGCCCATAATATTTTTAAGTTATTGATACATAAAACAATTTTCCAAAGGATGGTGCCACGTGCAATATTATTGAATGCCTACCAAAACAGGATCACTGTTTAAGCCAGGCCTAATGTCTGCATTTTGAAAAATACACAATGAAGCAAATATTTTAAAATTTCAAGTATTAGAAAAAACAATCAAAGTGTTATTTCATTGTCCCTTTATTCTTTATGCAAAACAGTATTACAGTACAGCACGCAAATATTACCACACTGATTTAAGCTGTCTGATTATAATTATTTTGTAGGTCCAAAATAATAAACCCCTCAAAACTGGGGTTCTATTACAACCTGGAGGATTTCTTTCCATCCCTTAAAAATTCTTCTAGGAAATGTGAGTGACAGCAAAGACATAATGTCACTTGAGGTGTCATTAAACCGCAAACTGGCAAATATTTTGAGCAATGCTTTCTCAATGGAAGTTTGCAAGCCTTACAAAGTATAAATACTTATTGTTGCAATGATGCAAAATTTGTCTTTCTGAGGAAGGTGCATTGAAGTCTTTGTGGGAGTTACTTCAGAATAATAGGAAAAGTCACAGATTTTCTTTTCCCAAAGACGAGAGAAAATAAATATATTGTGGGCATTATGAAGCCTTCAAGACTAAAAAAGAAATTTAACCACAGTCTCCTAGACCAACAACCAGTTTTGAAGATGCTGCTTCTAGTATTAGGTATTGTTAATTTTAGGGAAAATAAATTCAGTAGCTAAGACATTACATTTTTGTTTTTTAATTTGCATTTATTTGATTCTGATAAGAAAGATCCTTATCTATGAATTTACTAACTACACTCAGCCCTTCATATCCTCCAGTTCTGCATCCTGTATTCAACCAATGGCAGATGGGAAATATTTGGGAATAAAAAACAATAACAATACAACAGCTAAAAATACAAATAAAAATCAATAAAGTATAACTACTATTTACATACCACTTACATTGTATTAGATATTATAAGTAATCTAGAGATTATGTGCATGGGCTATGCACCATTATACCATTTTATATAAGGGACTTGAGTATCCCCAGATTTTGGTATTCACAGGGTCCAGGTTTGTGATTGGGAGGCCACAAGTCAATGCTGAAATGTCATGAGGAAGTCACTTGGCCACTCTGAGCCTTAACTTTCCTGTCTGCAAAATGAAAACAAAAAAATGAATTCAATGATTGCAGAGTACTCCACTAAGGACAACTTATTTGCAAAGAACAGAGGCTCTCTCAAAATAGTTTAAGTAGAAGGATGAGATTTTTGCTAATGTGTGTTGAATCTCTAACTGTTGTATGGGCTCTCTGTCTGTTTCTCAACTACTCAGCTTTACTTGTCTACGCTTCTGTTGTGTTTTGGCCTCATCCTTTTACTACTGGCAACCTCTCAACACATGGCAGAAAGGAGCTCCTTTGGAAACCTACATCCCTTATTGCTCATGCTTCAAAACGAAGAGAGAGCTTTTTCTCCCAGTGTCCATATGCCAAATCTAGGAGGAACCCTCACTGGGTCACATGCCCATCCCTGGACCAAAAGGCCAGAAAGACACTACAATTAACAGTCTCACCAGAGTTCATAAGTTGCAGAAGAAATGAGTGCTAAGCAGACCAAAATTGGGAGGGAGGAGTCCACCATAGACTCACACGGGGTATGAAGAGCAGGAGCACAGAAAAATAGTCAGGCAACTACCTTCTTTGATGGTCAGTCTCTGGGTCCGCAGGCACTCCCAATCTACTTCTTTTTGAGCATGTGCTCCTTTGTCCTCTCTGAAAAAAATAAAAAATAAATAATAAAGCCTTTTCTTGAAAACTGCTGTTTCTGACTTTCCATGACATTGACTTCCACATGGCTCTGACTCCCCCTGAGGCTGACACTGGCCCACACAATGTGACAGTGCAGCACAGCTCCCCACGGCCCCTGACTGCCCCAGAATCTGTGTCCCAATTCTAAATTTCCAAGAGAAAGAATATGACTGAAGTTGGGTGAGGGGTCTGGTTAAGTTAAATTTACCTCTGCAGTGCTACCAGAGGGTGGAATATTCTGGGAAGGAAATGTGTCTCCTCTCATCCTGTTCCACTCACATCCTCTCTCACTATGATACAAACACACACACACACACACACAAGTGTCTTACAGATTCTCTAAGCACAACGTCTGTCTTGCCTCAAAGCTTTCCATGTACTGTAGCTTCTGCCAAGAATGTTCTTTCTTTCAAAATCTTTATGACATCCAGTCGTTCACCATAATGATGGTTCAGGCAGCAACAGACCACATGTATGATGGTAGTCTGGTAGTCGCATAAGATTATAATACAGTATCTCTACTGTACCGTTTCTATGTTAGATACGTTTAGATTCCCAAATACTTCTCATTGTGTTACAATTGCCTACAGTATTCAGTACAGGAACATGCTGCACAGGTTTGTAGCCTAGAAGCAATAGACTATACCATACAGCCTGGGCATGTAATAGACTGTACCATCTAGGTTTAGGATTGTGTAAGTAAGTGAACTCCATAATGTTCACAAAATGATGAAATCACCTAAGGACACATTTCTCAGAATATATCTCCATCATTTAGCAACACATGGCTGTTTCATCTTAAATATCACCTTTTCAGATAGGCCTTTCTTGCTCACATAATTTAGAGATACCTCCTGAAATTCAGTAGCATTATACCATGTGTTTCTGTGTGTGCGTGTGTGTGTGTGTGTGTGTGTGTGTGTGTGTGTGTGTAAAATCTGTTAACTGTCTATTCTTCTCTCCCTTACTGGTCTGCAAACTTAAATACCAAAAAACCGTAAATTTTATTTTTTCTGAAACTTTATTCTTTTTAGTCTTTATTCCTCTAAGAAGCAGAAACCTAACATAAGTCAATTTCCCTAGAGTTGCAACCATGTTCTGTTGGGGTGTGGGGTGCAGGGAAGCATTGAGTGGGGGTCAGCTCTTCTTCAATATCATCATCTCTCCACGTTGGAGTCTGGTGGAATGACTTTAATCTAGTCTGATATTTAATCATCCATTCATTTCACTGGTGTATCCTCCCTAATTTCCATTTGCAAGTTGTCTAAGATAGTATCTTCAAAATTAAAGTTTTCTCATGAACATATTAGTTTAATAACAGGTTGCTTATCTAATTGAGAAAAGAGAAAATCACCCAGTATATCATGAAAATTATTTTCTTTCTTTGAATGGCTAAGAATTGACACCATTAAGGCGGCAGTGTGTTGCAAGAAGTGGGGGGACTTGTAGCACAAGAGTTGGTCCACAGATTGCATTTAAAGCACTATAAACCCTATAATTTTTACTAAGGCAAAATATTTGGGAAAATATACAGTACTATGAGAACACACAGTATGAAGCTGTCAGTGGTAACAAAGACTCTAAGCGTCTAGTGCGCCTTAATAAAATTTCATATGATCTAAATTTCTTTTGCAATCAATGAGCTACTTAAATAGATTGTATTTGCCTGCCTTGTACAGCATTATTTCTGCCAGCCAGTTGCTATAATTAATTTGTTTTCATCAGTGAAAGTAATGAGCTGTCATTTATTTCGCTTTTCAATTTATTCTCAACTCATTATGTATTGACAGTGTGTTCAGGGCTTCTTAAAGCTGGCTTCTACTATGACACAAAGAAAGGAGGTTCCTTTATTTTCAGACTGCGTTTGAATGGCATATCTGGCTACCTTTCATAAGGGGCATATGAAAGCTCAGGATACTGAAAGAGTTAATATTTTTCACTGGGTTATTTTAATCTATACAAATTACTTACAAAATTTGATGACTACTTTTTTTAAGTAACGAGGTAGGTGGGAATATATGTTCCTTCAACTTTGGAAGTTGATTTTCTTGTGTCCAATTCTCTCTAAGCAGTATTCACAATCCAACTAAATAATGATATTTAAAATATCTTCTAATTATATTACATTATATTTCTTAACCTACTTTGAAAATAGAACACAAATGGTTCATGATGAATCAAAATTTTAACTCTTTCATAATCAGGAGTGTGTGTACCAAGATACTACACAGGACACAAAGCAAAGCTGGCCTCTTAGTGTAACTGTCCTACTAATGAGAAAATTATTATTTCTTAACCTACTTTGAAAATAGAACACAAATGGTTCATGATGAATCAAAATTTTAACTCTTTCATAATCAGGAGTGTGTGTACCAAGATACTACACAGGACACAAAGCAAAGCTGGCCTCTTAGTGTAACTGTCCTACTAATGAGAAAATTCACTCTCATAATAACAAAAAGAGAATTGTTATTCTGGTATTCTGCATGGTCAGGTAGGAAGAACGTGGAATTTAGATTCAAATATCCTGGAGTTGACTCTTATCAAACTTCTGGGGACCTCACAATGAATAAGGTGATAAAGATTATTGTATGGAAAGAACCTACGAGAGTACCCACTGTACCAAAAATACCTTCCTGGACCATAACATGGGGGAACAAATGCCAGCACAGAGGCAGTGGAATTAAAAGCACAGACTCTAGGATATGATTGCTCTAAATAAGAGACTGCTCTCTGTACTTACTGGCTATCTGAACTCAGACAGGTTAAAACTCTCACTTTGCCTCAGAGTTTTATCAACTATAAACTAAAACTAATAAAATAGTACCACTCTCATAGAGTTGTGAGGATTTAATGAGTTATTTCATGCAAGGTTCTGAAGACTTTGTGTGGGATGCAGTAAGAATTAGATGAATACTCACTATGACTATAATGATGCTGATGGCTAAAAGCCATGGTTTGATACTGAATCACCCTCTACTTCACTTCAGTTCTGCTCTGTGGTTCTGATTGCTGCTCCCCAAAAGCCTCCTACTTCCTGTGGTTCCTGCTTTATGGAGTGCAATTGATGATGGTTTCTGCTCTATGGAGTGTAATTGATGACTGTGGGCTAAACTGTGTTAAAATTCATGACATTTTAAGTGTTTGTGTTTTCCTAATTGTAAAAGAGTAACATATACTTGTTGTAGAAAATTAATGTATATGCAATTAACAATTATATAGTAATATAAAATAATTTCTATAAAAGTATAAAGAGAAAAATTAAAATTAAACAAAGTAGGGTTTATATTTTATATATTTCTTGCTATGCTTTGCTAGGCATACAGACAGATGCTCATAGTTTGCATTATTAAATATACACACAGAGAGATCTGTATATCTTGATTTGTTAATCTTTAATCATGAGCATTGCTCAAAGTTGTTAAATTTTATTAAAGATTAATGTTGATAGCCACATAATAGTCCATCATTACAATTAATTCACCAGTATTCCACAGTTAAATATTGAGGTTATTATCACATTTTTGTTAGTATAAATTACACTACAAGAAACATCTTTGTCCTTAAATATTTGTCCATATTATCATCATTTACTTTTACCGTATTTCCAGAAATGAACTTAATGCATTAAAACACATTAAATATCTTGATTGAAATAATTTCTAGAAATTTTATAACATTTTCACTACTTTAGTGGAAAAACAGTATCATAATTGATTTTCAATTATTTTATTACAAGTGGAATTGAACAATTTTCAGCTATTTCTTTATACTTTGGATTTCTTCTGTTGTCTATGTCTTTTGCCTGATTTTCTATAGAAAAATCTCTATTTTATATTGTCCTTTGCCTAATTAGCACCATTGTTAGTGTTTTCCCTATTAAATTGTAAGCAGGGGGACACACTTTCTCACTCATGCTAGTTCCCTCTGTGCGGATGGAGCTCCACTGCCAACCACTTCTGGCACTCTTGCCCTCATGGTCCTTCTAGCCCTAGGGATGAGGAATGGCTGATTGGTGAGTTTGGGGTAAGGAACTGAGCATGTGCAGCTTAACTCTTTCCACAGTGTCCCTGTCCGGCTGTTATAGATACCATAAGTGCTCGTCTCGTCTCATCTGTTCTTCTTTGCTGTAAGTTTTAAAGGAACAGCTTAATTTGGGAGGCATAGGGCTTTCCAGGACTGCCTGGGACCCAGTGCACAGGTCTGCCTAGTTCTAATGTTCAAAGTTAGAAAGCCCACTGTTGCCACTCACAGAGGTCACCCAAAACCCTTCCTCAGTAATAGAAGTAATATTTTGCTCTCTGTCTTTCACTGTTTTGTCTCTCCAATTGGTTCAATCTTGGGTAGAGAAAGCAAGGTGTCATTCATTGGGCATCCTAAAACTCCAAAATCTGTTTGAAACTTGAAAAATATATATATACAAAGCTGAATTTGAGGGACAAAGTAACAATAAAAGATTGGACACTGGAGCAGAAAGTGGAGAGTTTAAAACTGCATGGATTTGTTTTTCCTTGACATGTCACTGAAGTTTATGGAAACTTTGTTCACAGGCAAGTAGTTGTTTTGTACCTCTTCACTGGGTTTAGGAATATTCAAGCAGGCCTCAGCAAAAGCACAGGGTGCCTTGGTCTCAGCATATCTCAATTTCTCAGGCTGCTGGGCATCTGCAGGTGCATACTGCCATTGCTTCACATTGAAACCACACAGGCACCTTAGCAAAAAAATGCAGTTTGAGGGGTGGAGGGAACCCGAGCAGGTACGGGCGGCCATGGGGCCATAGTAAGCGGAGGACTTGATTACACAGGAAAGTGTTCTCATGTCATGCTTTTTAGATATTTGGGAGTTGCATAAATTATTTGAAGCTTTCACTTGGGTTTTTTTTGTATTGTTTTGCCAATTAGATCAAATCTTAAATTACAACTGTGTTCTACAGAAACTACAGAAAAATAGTGTGGAATCTTAGCTTGAACTTGTTAATGTGAGGCCAAAGTAGAGAGTGGCATAGATTTCTCCAAATACTGTGATGTTTCATGTCATTCGGAATTTCATTCATGAAAAATAGGAAATAGTGGAGGAGCTACGCTTGGATATAAGCTTAGCTTAGCTAAGCTCTTGTCCACAAATGCTTAAAACTCTATCCCTCATATAATCTCAAGTTGGCTCTGGATTTTTTAATTGCATAAGTTCTGAAATGGCTTAAAAATGGTGTAAGACACAAGTTGTAGCTGAATTCACAGAAGAGTGGTTTATTTCACCAAAAAAATAAAAATAAAAATAAATAGGGCCTTTAGTATAGAAACAAATGCTAACTTCTTAGGCTCAACTGAAATATTGCAGAACCAAGAAAAAAGGTAATTTAAAAGGCCTGTGCTTGAAACATTCTGCCTCTAGGAATCAAGTTTGCTCAGAAGTCAAGGAAGACTTGACAGTGGCTTTTTAAAAAATTGGTTCAGCCTTCATCTCGGAACAGAAGCAGTAGAAACATGAAAATAAATCAAGAAAGACAGACTAATTAAACTGGAGGAAGAAAAATAATCCTCAGGGGAAAGGTTAAGCTCTGAGGAAATGGGTTATGTGGATATTAAAGGAAACATAAGGTCTTGAAGGCCAGAATAGATCAATAATGATGAGAATATAAAATAAATAATAGTGTTATATGATAATAAATTAATAATAAAGGAGCATTACACCCAGGTGTTGTGAGGATAAAATGAATTAACATATGGAAACTCCTTAGAGCAGTGCCTGTATGTGGTAAATGCTCTACCTGGGTCATCTGGTGCCATTATTATCAGTACTGTTAAGTTTAGAGGAGTAAAGATACGGGCATAATAAGCAGAATAAACTGTTAGACACCAGGGCAGAAAAGAGAATAAGGATATGTTAGTAGAAACTCTCTCACTTTGGCCAAAAACAACAGAGAATTAAAGCTAGTCAAGGCTTCCGACATCCAAGAACTGAGGAGCAGTGGTACTCTGGGGAATAGGGGCAGAGGCATAGGTCCTCACCGGGCTCTCAGGTATTTCTATTCAGAAATCTGAGGCGATTCTCCAGCTGAAACAACGAGGGATTGGAGGGATCCCATCTTTCCTGGGAGTGAGTCTTCCTAAGTGAAAGCAGTTTCATAAGAAGAGATAGGGATCATATCCCCTGTGGCCAATGACCCACATACCCACTCACGTGACAGAGCAGTGCCCTCCAGAGGAATCCCACCCTCACTACATTCTGGGGACCATAAACACCATTTTTGGTCTTAGCACTCTATTTTGTAGTTGTTGTAGTTACCTTAGCCTTTTGCCTTCATTTTCCTTATTTAGTTAATGGTTCTGCCTGTTGCACTCTAAACTCCACTGGAACATAACCTGGGTCTGTCTTGTTCATTCCCAAATTTCTAACACTTAGCACAATGCCTAGCGTATACTTGTTGAACAGATAAATACATGGGATAGCTATTGAAGATGCTAAAGAGTTTTCTTCAGTTTCCTTTTGGTCCTGATCATTTCAAAGCACATGATTAAAAATATAATTACACTTTGGAATTTTAAATTTATATTATTTTCCCATTCTTCCTATATATTGAACATAAGCTTCATGTTCTAATGAGGGAGTAGTAGGTCACAAACTCAGTTGCCTGCGGGGACACTGAGTTAACACAGATGACTAAAATGATCGGCCTAAAAAACTGTAGGGCCAAAACTGTCTAGCTCCAAACCTAATACCTAATTATATTTGTTCTTGGTTATGGTCACATCTTCCTACTTCATTTCATCTCTCTCTCCCTCTCTCTGTCTCTCTGTCTCTCTCTGTCTCTATTTCAGACATTGTCTATAAAAGGATAGTAGAGACTAAAGTCAAAATTATCCCCCCTTTTTTCAGACAGGGCTTGCCTTTCCTCTGTCTGGCAAATAAGGTGAGGGGCCGATCACCTGGTTCTAATCAGGAGTTGAGCTGACTTGGGATGGATGCAGCTTTAGAGAAAACCCAGCTCGCTTCATGTTGGAGATTGTGTTTATTACAGGTCTCTCCTCTAGCAGAGCTTCATCTACCGAAGCCCCTGAAAACTGGGGTAAATTTGCCTTTGTTTTTCTCTCCAGGCCCCATCCTTCCTGTTCCTCAGCACTTAGCAGACATATGCATCTGTGGTTCCTCTAGATTCCAATCAGAGTCACCCCATTGTTAGGTTTGGCCAGGGGAGAGCGAGGGGAAATTATGTAAGCTAGTTCTGAGCAGAAGCTTGAAAAACCACTGAATATTTCCATGCATATACTTTTTTCCCTCTGCCATGAGACTGGCATGTCTGTGTTCGTTTCTTAGACCTGCCAGATAAGGTACCCACAAAACTGGGGCTCAAATAACATAAATTTATTGCCTCACACTTCCGGAGCCTAGAAGTCCACAATCAAGAAGTTCAAAGGATTGGTTCTTTCCGAGGACTGTGAGGGAAAGATCTGTCCAGGCCTCTCGCCTTGGCTTGTGGATGGCCGTCTTCTCCCTGTGTCTCTGCACATCATCTTTCCTGTAAACCAAAAATAAAATTCTAAACCCCCAACCAACTGAATAGACCCCTCCTCTCACCAAGGGCATTCCAATTAAGCTGAAAAACCAGTTCAGGCCATGATGGGAAATAGGGGTAAGATGTGCCTCATTATACCTTCCTCCCGTTGGAATTCAGGCACAGCTGACCAGCATTAACATCAGCACAGAGACCTGAAGACTGATGAAACACTTTTGTAGCCGTAAGACGCCAAATTCCAGCCTGATTCTAGTGTCGCATCACTTGACAGATCATTGGTACACCCTGAAAGAAATAGAAGTATTTTACCCCAAAATATATTTCTTTGACATATTTTGAAATGGCTCTGCAAAGGTATCTCTTGTGGGGAAAATCTACATTCTGTAGGGAATCCCTGTTCCTTTCCAGGTTTCTTCCCTGACTCAGGAGAGAATTAACAGAGTCTGGCACCGATTTAGGTCTGATAAGAGCTCTGAAGCCTGCTACCTGGAGGCTCCATCCGCGTGAAAAAACCTTGTTCTCACAACCCCTTATCTTAACCCAGACATTTCTTTCTATTGATTCCAGGTCTTAATAACTCTTTCAACCAATTGCCAATCAGAAAATCTTTGAGTACACCTATCACCTGGAAGCCCCCACTTTGTCTTGCCTTTCCAGAAAGAACCAATGTACATCTTACATGTATTGATGATGTCTTATGTCTCCCTAAATTGTATAAAACCAAGCTGTAGCCCTGCCACCTTGGGCACATGTTCTCAGGGTATCCTGGGGCTGTGTCACAGGCCGCTGGTCACTTATATTTGGCTCAAAATAAATCTCTTCAAATATTTTACAGAATTTGACTCTTTAGATCAACATGCCTCTGTGTGTGTCTGTCTCTGTGTCCAAATTTCCCCATTTTATAAAGACACCGTTCATATTGCATTAGGGCCTATCTTACCTAATTGTATCTGCAATGACTCTCTTTCCAAATCAGGTCACATTCTGAGGTACTAGGGATTAGAACTTCATCATATGAATTTGGAGGGGATCATAATTCAACCCATAACAGTGTCAGAAATTACAACTGCTTTTTCATCCTGAATCCAGGAATGAAGAAGACATGTAGAGCAAAGCCTTCAGGGCCTTACAGACCCATAGTTGACATGCAACATTAGACATAAATAAACCTGTATTATTGCAGGCCACTGAAAATTCAGGGGTGGTTTGTTACCACTGCCTTACTTAGTGAAAATTACTTAACACAGCATCTAATATGCATTAACTCAATGTATTTCTTTTGGTTTCAGTTAGTGTCATGGGTTAAATTGTGTCTCCAAACAGATAAGTTTAAGTCCTAGTCCCTGATATCTGTGAATGTTACCATACTCAGAAAGAGGTTCTTTGCAGAAGTTAAGGTGAACTCACACTGGATTAGTGTAAGCTCTAAATCCAATGACTGGATACATACAGGGAAGAAAGCCATGTGAAAACAGAGGCAAAGATGGAGTGATGCATCTACAGGCCAAGCGCCAAGTATTGCCAGAAGCTACCAAAAGCTAGGAAGAGGCACAGTAGGATTCTTCCCTAGAAACTTTGGAGGGAGCGTGGCCTTACCAACACCATGATTTCAGACTTTTATCCTCCAGAATTATGAAAGAATAAACTTATGTTGTTTTAAGCCATGCAGTTTGTGGTATTTTTTAACAGTCCTAGGAAACTAATACAGGTAGAATGAATCCCTACTCTCACTGCCATGTTTCTTTGCACTCTGTTTCCTCAAGGCCAGTAATTCTCAATGTAGTTCTCTCATCTTTATAGTTTGTGAAATGCCACAAAGATATGGTAACAACTTGTCTGAAAGTGTCTTGGTGGTGGTGTGTGCTTTATTTTGTCTTTCTGTGTATAGCCATTGATATTTCAGTGGAAAGTTAAAAATGTGTGCCAGGTGCTCCTAAAGCTGATACTCTATAACTCTCATATTTAATATGTTTAAGCATTTAGGAAACAATTTTCCATTGAAAACTGAATATTCCAAATCAACTGTGGAGCAGTAGTCAAAAATACCAGGGAAAAGACTAGACGTAAAGTGCAACACTTACTTCAGGAAACCAATGCCTCAAAACCCCTGTATCTTAAGATCCAATAGGCTCAGTTGTAAGGAACTCCACCTGCCTGCACATTTCTGCCCTTTATCTATGATACCTTCAGGACACTAGAAGGGAGGTAATAATTTTATTATTAATTTTACTGTAATGATTTAGGGTCACTATTTGGAGTGCAGCCATAGTACTCTCTTGCCCAGACACCTTCTGATAGAGCGCAAGGAGGGCAGAGCAGGGAGTCTAAGCACACAGGCTTAGACACAAGCATTATTGCATCATGCTTCCCTTCAAATTGGCCCCAGCAACAATTAAGTGAGCCAGTATTTACCCCAGGTGAGGAGGCACCTGTGACTGACTTCTCCAGCCTCAGAGTGATTCAACAGGAACTGTTTCAAGCAGCAGAGAATGACTGAGGTTGATGGTGGCTTTTACAGAGGCAGCTGGGAATCAGGGGCTTACAGCTTCATTAGGGTCAATAATCTAATGAACAGGACTCAGGGATTAGATTAATCATTACTACTACATTTATACTTATTATATTTTCTAATTCAAAAGAATTGTACAATCATTGAAGAATAATTCAAACACTACAGAAATATGTGTAAAGTCAAAGTCCCCATAAACCAGCGTTGTACCCAAAGATAAACATTGTCATCTGTGTGATACACAAATGTCTAGAAATTTTTTCTCTAATAATATAGCCCCCTCCCCCTTTTTGACAAATTGAGATTGTACTACACTTTTTTTTTTAACAATTTGCTTATTGAACTTAACAATATGGAGATACCTTTACAATTTTATATGTCTACTTGTCTTTTTTATTTTACTTTTTTAAAACAATGTTATCATTTTCATAAAAATGAAACATTCCCATTCCAAAATATTTAAGCTATTCAGAAGAGTACAAAACAGGTAGCAAATATATATAATGTCAATAATTAAAAATACATCTCATTAACATTTGATGAACTTCATTCCAGCTATTAATTTGTGTACAAATATATGGAGAATAAAAAAAGATATATGGATACATTTATAAAATAATTTTGTAATATAAATAATATTTAAATAAAAATGTAATTTTACTTTAAACACTAGAAAAATAAATTGAAATAAAATTAATAGAAGTCAGACAAGCAAGTGTCTTCTGACAAAGAATTAGTTGGTTAAGGTTATGGAAAAATCCAAAAATCATTAAAAGATTCGGTTCCATTATGTTGTTTTAAACTATATACTTCAAGTACCAACAATGTCAATTGACTCTCCCCTATGAAAGATAAGAAAATATTACTCTCATACTGCCTCCCTCTCCTGACTTCTAGATTTGAGTTAAAGCACTATTTTTATTTCGTCAACCAATCCCGTTATTATTTTGCCTTAGCTTCACATATAAATGCATTTAATATTGTAGCAGACACTACCAAACATTTGTTCTTACCCCTCTTTTCTACTCCAAAGAAATCCATTTTGTTCCAGTTCTTAGCCCTTTTCTCATGGCTGTGTGCTTCAGGATAAGCCTAACTCCGAGAGTAAGTCCTAATTAGTCAACCCCGGTGATCTCATTCTCCTCACCAATGATTGGTTAGTATCATAGGCATGTGGTACAATTCTGGCCAATGAGACATGAGGATAACTAATAACTTCCAGGAAATATTTCCTAACTTTTAAAAGGAAACACACAGAAAAAGTCTATTCCTTTTCTGAATGTGATTGCATTTGGCTGTGATGCCTGGATTGTTGCAGCTTCTTTGAATCCTGAGAGTAGATCTCATAGTTTGAGGACGAAAGAACATAAAGATTCAGAGAAGTTGAGTCCATGATATGTTCACTGGACTCCTAAACTGAACAATATGGAGCTACACTGTTTCTGAAACTTCTTGTTATATGAAGTAATAAATATTGTTTAAGTCATTTTGAGATGGATTTGTTTCTTGAATTCAACATCATCTTCAAAGCTATCCTAATAAACATAAGTATTTACCACTGATTCTTCTTACTACATATCACCTTATGATTTAGAGAGAATGTGTGTATGTATTTTATCTAATCCTCGAGTAACTTCGTGGCAAGCTTTATCTACTGGGAAAGTTCTATTAATTAGTAATATAACTAACTCACATTTTTACTTCATTCACAAATTTATTGATTGATGAATTTGTGTGTGTAAATATATAATCTTGACTGTAGGAGAAGATAGGCAATAAAATAAATAAGGACATTATATGGTGTATAAGAAGGTAATAATTGTTATGGCAAAAAGTAGATCAGGAAAGAGGGTAGGGAGAACTATGAATGAAGGGTGGGGTAAGGGTTGCAATTTTAAATAGGGTGGTTGGTGAAAATCCCATTGTTCTGTGCAATTCTCATGACTTTCCATTTAATCACTTGGATACCCTGTAAATTAATAATTTAACCTAGTTGAGTAATGTCAAACTCCTTTGTTTAATTTTAGAGTATAAAAAATTTTAATACAATAAATTTGGCCTATGATGCTCTCCTTGGAGAATATTATTCAAGCAGATATTTAATTGTTATCTGAAAGATTGACTCCATCAAAGTGTGGGAAAATCAACACAGCCTCCCGAGAAGATATTTTAAAATATTTGTTAGAGACACATTTTCCCATGCCTTGGAAGTTAAACCTAATCTCCATCCTCTCATCCAAACTGTCTTTCAAGTGTCAGTCTGCTGATAAATGAAAAGGAACCTGATATGCACTAACTTTTTGTCTACCTGGTTACTAATTCTTCAAAACAATAAACAATAACTACCATTTATTGAGGAAAAGATAAATATCAGATGACGAAGCAAACTTAATGCAGAATCCTCCTACAATTTTACAATAATTTTATAATCTTTCAAACTTCTCTCTCCCTTGCTTGATTTTACAGATTTATCTCAATAAAGCATTTAATGAAGCAATTAATGCATTTCATTTATTTTTCCAAGAAGTCACAACTCTTTGTCCATTCACATTTCATTCACTTTCCATAAAATTAAATTATACAATTATAGCAACAGGTAAAATCCATTTAAATCATTTTGGTAGCAACAAACAGACAAACAAAAAACAACATTTCACATGCAAATCAAAAAAAGTAGGGCTGGGCATTTTTCTTTAAGTACTGCTTATCCCAAGGGACTGTGTGGCCCTATCACATAACAGAACTAAAACTTTAAAAGCACTAAAGAAAACTGATGATCAAAATCTCTACTACTCCATCTTTTTCCTTTCATCTGGCCAGAGTTAATGTGGAAATATTTCAGCTTTGCGTTCCTTTCTGTCATGCTGGACCATGGGGAGGGTGAGGCTCCATCATTGTCAGGCAGGGGGAAATCATCGCCCATGACAGGAGAGCAGAGAGACACCAGGATTCATAAGAGCTGGACAACGTGTCACATACACAAGGAAGGCTGCAAGCACAAAGTCAGAGAAAGCTAGATCTGAAGTTTTTCAATGATATGACCAATGATCAGACTTGGAGAATATTTCTAGAATATTAGACGGAAACCACGAGCTAGACGATCAAAGAAAGACAAAGACAGGGATAAATCAAAAGCACATCCAGTCAGTGCCTGGAAGGCTGAGGCAGCTGGGTGCCATCTTTCAGACAGTATTTCTCTCTGACATTTCTCCATTTCTCCAGGTTAGATCAATGTCCTCTCCCTTTCTTCCATGAGATTTATAACACTGTGTCAATGCTATGTCCAACTCCCTAGGTAAGACTTCTTATCTTAGTAAACATGCTTGTCACAAGTTAAACAGAAAGACAACAATGTTTAATGCTACTTTGTAGGTATTTCCCAAAGCTCACTCAGAAGTGGAAATAAAATCACAGAAGAAAAAAAAAACTGGACATTCTCAGGAACCCAAAATGTAGGGGTATAGGTGTTAAGGGAGAGATAAAAGAGAAAAGTTAATATTCAAGTACTTGATCTTTAAAATGGTAAAAAATTTATATGAATATGTTTTTGGATTTTAGATGTCATCTGCATCTAATCCTCTTGTGACCGTTTTAAAACACGGCCACAAATTCTTTGCGGGGCTGGGCAGGGATCTATGTCTACTCCTCTTGATTCCGGCCAAGATGTGGCTTCTTTGACAAATAGAGTGTAATAGGGTTCTCTAGAGGGACAGCACTAATAGGATAGCTATATATATATATGAAGGGGAGTTTATTAAAAAGTATTGACTCACATGATCACAAGGTGAAGTCCCTTTTAGCCAGGCGTGGTGGTGTGTTCCTGTAGTCCCAGCTACTCAGGAGGCTGAGGCAGGAGAATTGCTTGAGCCTGGGAGGCGGAGGTTGCAGTGAGCCAAGATTGAGCCATTGCACTCCAGCCTGGGCGACAGAGTGAGACCTTGTCTCAAAAACAAAACAAAACGAAACAAAAAAAACTAAGGTGAAGTCCCACAACAGGCCATCTGCTAGCTGAGGAACAAGGAAGCCAGTCTGAATCCCAAAACTTCAAAAGTAGGGAAGCCGACGACGCAGCCTTCGGTCTGCCTGAGAGTCTTGCCAGGCCTGAGAGTCCCTGGCAAATCACTGGCGTAAGTCCAGAGTCCAAGAGTCCAAAAGCTGAAGAACTTGGAATCTGATGTTCGAGGGCGGGAAGCATCCAGCACAGGAGAAAGATGAAGGCCGGAGGACTCAGCAAGTCTGCTCCTTTACCTTCTTCTGCCTGCTTTATTCTAGCCTAGCCATGCTGGCAGATTGAGGGTGGGTCTGCCTCTCCCAGTCCACTGACTCAAATGATTCAAATCTCCTTTGGCAACACCCTCACAGACACACCCAGGAACAATACTTTGCATCCTTCAATCCAATCAAGTTGACAATCAATATTAACCATCACATAGGGTCCATAGGAAGTGACACAATGACTTGATGGTAAATCCTAAAAGCTCAGGCCACTTCCGCCTGGTGTGCTGGAAAACTCACTCGGGAGCCCTAAGCTGCCTGACGAGTTCAGCTGCCTTGAGGCCACTATGGAGAGGCTGCAAATAGGGACTCAGGTAAACAGACCCAGGCTTTGAGTCTTTCCAGATGAAGCGCCAGCAATGGGGAGAGAAGATACACCTTCCTGGCTATGCTTTGTTTGAGTTTCTGACCACAGAAAGTGTGGACATAATAAAATAGTTGTCTTATAACACTAAGTTTGAGGGTATGAGGGTGGTGTGGAGGTGATTTGTTATACAAAAGAAATAACTGAAATATCCCCAATACTCTTGAGTAGTAAAAAAGTATTTATTTATGTGTCCCACTATACCCAAGCTGCACACACCCTCAGGCATGCAAACTTTCATTATCTGCCTCTTTCCTTCTGAAGAGAAAAGAAAGTTAAATACTGTTTTGGCTGAGTTTTCCCTATAACACTGGTTGTTGTTGTTGTTGTTGTTGTTGTTGTTGTTGTTAGAAACTATTCAGAACCTTAAGAACAATCATTCCTTAGGAGGATATATAACCTATTCTTGAGGAATATGCTTTGGCCTTGCTATGGCACTCAAAGGTTAAATTAAAGATTATATCATTCAAAACCCTAAGAGATGGGAAGAGGCACCCACACATGCTTACTCCCATCTGTCTGCCTTTGCCCTACTCTTCTCTGCCTCTCACAGCCTTGTGCAAAGATCATCTGTCATTCCCAGTTCTGCAAGAGGTATGACGTTCTTGTGTCTGATGCTCAGATTTGGAGCTGCAGATCCTCTCACTAAGAGCCAAGCAGATGGTATCCGTAAATCCAAAAGCTAGATGAGAAATGGCTTTTATGTAGAAAGATCACTTTTAAATTATCCTATATGTCATGTTCCTGTGAGCCACTTTCTTCCAAATATTCTCAGCAACCTCTTCATAGATGAATTTACTAAAAACATACTTTCTTTTTAAATGTAAGCCCAAGATAGATAGATGATCCAAGACCCAGATGATTCTATGACTTTCTCTTCCCATTTCATATATCTTGAAGAAATATTTTAAAAGTACAACAAAGATATTTGACTAACTAAAAAATTTATACACAAGAATACATATTCCTAACGTTTATTCGGAACTCCCAGATGTCAAAAAATTGTATACTCTAAATGAAAGGTTGCCAATTGCTTTCCTTCTTGAATATTAGGTATATTATTAAAGGAAGTTAAATAAAATAATTCATGTTTCGTAAAGGAGTTTGTCATATCTCTGCACCATATAAAGAGAAAAGTAAATCCAGGGATCAAACACTCATAAATAAGAAAAGAAAGGAAGCTATTTTACTGGTGTCATCCTTAATAGTAAAGAGACAGTGCTAATAGGTTCTAAGTGGCTGCTTATCTAAGCTTCTTAATTTGTAAACATGTAATGGTTTTGATAATCTACTTCAACCAAATTCAGCTCTATGTCAGGCACTCAAGGCAGAGCACATGATGTGTCCATTGTGAATTGGGGACAGGCACCTTCAAAGCACAGACGCAGAGACAGGGATGAGTAGGGCCTACACAGCCTCAGCAATGCTTCCTTGGACAGAAAAGAAAGCAATGAATTCCTGTGAACCTATTCTGAAGCATGTGCCAGCATCACTTCCTGAGCCTGAGCCATCAGAAGAATGAGGGATTTCCTGACTTTCAAAGTCCTCCATCCATGCTGGGCAGGCTCATTCCTAAAAGAAACAGCCCCTTCATCTCAGCAGCTTAATACAATATTTCTTGCTCATGTAACAGTGCAGTGAGGGTGGATGGAGGGCTCTGTTCTATGCAGTGATTCAGGGACCTCAGATCCATCATCTTCCAGCACCTTGGAGTCCTTTGTTAAATCCTCTCCACTGGGACATCTCACTGGGGATAAGTGAAGAGGTATGAGCTCACTTGGTCTCACCATCACAGCCTGGATGGTGACACTCATCATTTTGCCTCAGGTTCTTCAGGAAAGAACTAGTCTCATGGCCCCATCTATATGCAAGCTCTGCCACAAACATTTAAAAAAAAAAAGGTTTCTATTTTTCCAATTTTCCGCAATTGAAAGAGTCTAACGACAGCAGAGAATGATATGGTAGAAGATAGCCTGGAATCAGTAGTGTGTGTACTAGATAGAATAATCCCCTCACCAAACACCTCCATGTTTAATCTCAGAACCTGTAAATGTTACCTTATATGGCAAAAGGGACTTTGCAGAAGTAATGAAGTTAAAGATTTTGAGAACTTTTTAAATTTATTCTTACTTCCCAAGTGGCTACTTCCCTAATCCTGACTAGGAAAATTATCAACTAAAATCTTACATATTCCTTTAAGATGTAGCCCAATTTGGTGGAAATATATTAACATTTGATGTAGATATCATTGTCACCTCAATAATTTATTCCCATTATCTGTGAGAAAATGTAAAAGTTTGGCTGAACAATTATAATGTGGCATTTAAACTTCTCATTTACCAACCTTAAGATTTCCAATCTTAGAAACCATATTTAAAGTAAAGCTCTCAACATGCTATGCTATTCTTAGCTCAGTTAGAAAATGATGCTGGTTATAGCAGCATAGCTATGATGTTGCCATGGTTATCTACCTGTTAATGATTAAATTTGCTTCCTTTTATACTTATTAGAATGTATATTTTGAAAATGGAAAAGTTTCAGTGTATTAGAAGATTACAAGATCCAAAGTTCTGAAACAAAAGTTTGTGTATTAGAAGCCTGTTTAGGCTATGATGTTCAGAAGATACTTCTTGTGTGTCCCCTACGGGTTTTGTTTTATTTTTATTTTTCTCATCAGCTACAAATGGATAAGCATTTTATGCATCAGAGATTCATTATAATTTCCTGGGAACAGACAAACTTGGTGAAAAATAGTATGAATTATGCAAAAATATAAATTTGTTTAAATACCACAAAGCATCAGCAAATTAAATGTTTGTTTCAATTATTTATCAGACCCATCCTCTTGCATCTACACACAAAATTATTGCCATAAGCTTCCAAGCCAAGCAAAGTTTTAGCATCACAGAAATAAGATTAATGACTGCTAATTTTTTACAGGAATGATTCTAAAACTCATAAGGTAAGATACTTTTTTTTCAATTTTATTTTTAAAATCACTCAACTGCTTGTCTCTTCTCCACCTTCCAGCACAGCAAATAATTAGTATCCTCACATTTATAGCCATCACTACAAGTTTTTAGAAAAAGAGCCAAAACTTGGAAACTGTTTACAACATATATATCTGAATCTTTAGATTATTTGGCTCTGTTTGAGATGGAAAAAAAGTAGGGGGTGGACTATGAGGTAATGTTTATCTTCCTATGCTTTTCTATTTGTTTATTTCACAGGCATTTCCTGAGTGCTTAATATGTGGCAAGCCCTGCCCTGATGCTAGGGATACAGGAATGAACAGACTCGGTTCCTATCTTTATAGAGCTTTTAATAGCAATGGTAAGAAATGATGAGGCCTAAACCAAGGTTTGTGAATGGGTCAATCCCTTCTGACAACAGGATGGACCGTTAGCCTGGCCTTCAAATTCTTCAGCCTATATTTTAAGCCTTCCTTGCCGGAATTTACCATGCTTCCTTCAAACAGGCTATTTGTGTACGTCATTAGAAACCCAATTCCTGTGACAATGGCCCTATTTGCTATCTGCAATGAGAAAATTATATCCAGATTTCAAGGTCTAACTCAAATCTCTCTTTCTCCGTATGGCCTTCCATGACCTGATGTCCTCTCTCAGTCTTCTGGACACCCGAAGACTCTTTATTTAATGTCAAAAATCATGTGGAAAACTTTTGACTTTCCTTTATGAGCCAGATACTTCACAAGGTATATTTTGTTTGCATACTGAATGAACTTTATAATGAAAATATCTCCATTTTAATATAAAATGACTGGAGTTTCAGTGGAAATAAATAAGTTACCACAGGTTGGAGCTACAACTCAACCCAGAACATTATGATTCAAAAATCTATGTTCTTTCTAACACACTATAATGACTTAATAATAATTTTTAGATTTCTTATCATCTTATAAATTCTGTTAAGTTAGGAATCATCTTTAAATATGTCTGTATTTCCCTTAGCACCTAAAAACCAATGCTTTTCCCATGATACATTCTGAGTAAAATTTTGTTTCATGATTAAGATAATCATGACCAAAATGCAAGATAAAATTATAATAAATGTCTTCCTCCTCAAGTGATATATAAAATAACAATTAGAAGAGTCAGGAAGGCCAGGCATGGTGGTTCATGCCTATAATCCCAGTACTTTGAGAGGCCAAGTTGGGAATATTGCTTGAGTCAGGAGTTCAAGACCAGCCTGGGCAACATAATGAGACCCCTGCCTCTACAAAAAGTGTGAAAATTAGCAAGGCATGGTGGTGTGTGCCTGTAGTCCCAGCTACCCAGGAGGCAGAGGTGGGAGGATCGCTTGAGCCTAGGAGGTCAAGGATGCAGGGAGCGATGATGGCATCAATGCTCTCCAGCCTAGGTCACAAAGCAAGACTCTGTCTCTAAAAAGATAGATAGACACGTAGATGATAGATAGGTGATTAGAAAAATAGATAGATAGATAGATAGATCAGTCAGGAAGAAGAAAGTCACAGTGAGACAGTATAAGGTGGAAAAGAAGCTTAGAATGAAAGGTTGTGTAGAATTTAAGCTGCTGATGTTAGTGGGCAAAAGCATTAAAAATATGGGAAAAGCTAAGAGTAAAGGTTTAGCAATGAGAATGAAGAAGGTCTATCCATGGGTTTGCAATTGGAGGACTCTGACTACAACAGAGTGATAGAGTATAAGATAGCCTAGAATGATTAGTGGGTGTGGTGGACAGAATAGTGTATTGTCCCCCACACCCTGCAAAGACATCCATGTCCAATCCTGGAACTTATGAATATTACTTTATACAGAAAATGGGACTTGGCAGAATTAATTAAGGATTTTGAGAGAGGGAGATAATCTAGGATTATCCAGGTGGGCACAGTATAATCACAAGCATCCTTGTAAAAGACAGTCAGGGAATAGAAACAGATGTTAAGACAGAAGTAGGAATTGCGAGTGATACAAGCAAGGGGTCAATGAGTCAAGGAATGTAGGCAGCCTCTAGAAGCAGAAAAGGCAAGGAAACAGATTCCCTCCTGAAGGAATGCAGCTCTGCCAACACCTGATTTTAGACTTCTGATTTCCAAAACTGTAAGAGATTAAAATTGAATTGTTTTAAGCCAGCCCATTTGTGGTCATTCGTTACAGGAACAATAGGAAACTAATAATAGGGTATCAGGACATCAGAAGTTTGAGGGCCATACTAAATAACTAAGAATCTACCCTGAATGCATTGAATTTTTCTAAGCTTAGAATGGAAATAAATTAATGTTATGGAGATGAATTATATTGTTACAGTTATTCAGTTATCTGAACCATTGTGGTAGCATTGAGAATGGAGCCAAGAGGCAGATATGAAGGATTCTAGGAAGAAAATTGTAGAAATACCTGGAGACTATCTCTGAGGAACTCAGAAAAAGCAAGAAAGATTCAAAAGCATACCTAAATTATGAGTGTGAGAGGTATAACTGAGAGAACAATGTAGGTGGAATAGTAAGTGTTAAGGAAGATGGTACATTAAGTGCTATACATGTTGAGTTTAGCTATCTGAGGTCATATCCATTAGACAATAGAAGATGGACTACTAGAGAAAGAGAGATGCTTGGATATGCTGCTAACTAATTGTGAGCTCCATGAAAGTAGAAATAAAATCCTTTTTTCATTACCTATAAACCCAAATACAGCACACGTCACGCAGTAGATGCTAAGAACATGGCTGTTGATAGAGGAGTTACCTGATCACGCTAATAAAATGTCTTGCACCAATGGAACAGAACAGAGGCCTCATAAATAACACCACACATCTACAACCATCTGATCTTTGACAAACCTGACAAAAACAAGCAATGGAGAAAGGATTCCCTATATCATAAATGGTGTTGGGAAAACTGGCTAGCCATATCCAGAAAACTGAAACTGGACCCCTTCCTTACACCTTATACAAAAATTAACCCAAGATGGATTAAAGACTTAAACATAAGACCTAAAACCATAAAAACCCTAGAAGAAAACCCAGGCAACACCATTCAGGACATAGGCATGGGCAAAGACTTCATGATCAAAACACCAAAAGCAATGGCAACAAAAGCCAAAATTGTCAAATGGGACCTAATTAAACTAAAGAGCTTCTGCACAGCATGAGAAACTGAAAAATCATCAGAGTGAACAGGCAATCTACAGAACGGAAGAAAATTTTTGATATCTATCCATCTGACAAAGGGCTAGTATCTAGAATCTACAAAGAACTTAAACAAATTTAGAGGAAGAAAAAACATGTCAAAATGTGGGCAAAGGATATGAACAGACACTTTTCAAAAGAAGACATTTATGCGGCCAACAAACATATGAAAAAATGTCAACATCACTGGTCATTAGAGAAATGCAAATCACAGCCACAATGAGATACCATCTCATGCCAGCTTGAATGGCGATCATTAAAAAGTCTGGAAACAACAGATGCAGGAGAGGATGTGGAGAAATAGGAATGCTTTTACACTGTTGGTGGGAGTGTAAATTAGTTCAACCATTGTGGAAGATAGTGTGGCAATTCCTCAAGGATCTAGAACCAGAAATACCATTTGACCCAGCAATCCCATTACTGGGTATATACCCAAAGGATTATAAATTATTCTACTATAAAGACACATGCACATGTATGTTTATTGCAGCACTATTCACAATAGCAAAGACTTGGAACCAACCCAAATGTCCACCAATAATAGACTGGATAAAGAAAATGTGGCACATATATACCACGGAATACTATGCAGCCATGAAAGAGGATGAGTTCATGTCCTTTGCAGGGACATGAATGAAGCTGGAAACCATCATTCTCAGCAAACTAACACAGGAACAGAAAACCAAACACTGCATGTTCTCACTCATAAGTGGGAGTTGAACAATGAGAACACACGGACACAGGGAGGGGAACATCACACACTGGGGCCTGTCGGGGTGGGGGGCTAGGAGAGGGATAGTGTTAGGAGAAATACCTAACATAGATGACAGGTTGATGTGTGCAGCAAACCACCACGGTACGTGTATACCTATGTAACAAACCTGCACGTTCTGCACATGCATCTCAGAACTTAAAGCATAATAAAAAAAATTAAAAATTAAAATGTCTTGCAGACACTTCTGATTTGAAAACCATCTCTTTGGGATAAATGTCTAGTTGAAGGGTTTATCTCTTTGTTAAGTGATATCCTGTCCTCCTGTTTCCAATTTTGCATTTGGATTCAGATATATATATCTATGTGGCTTAGATGGGAAGCATTGCCCAGTACCTATGCCTTCCTCTAGGTCTTGATATGTCTGCTGAACTAGGTCTTGATATGTCTGCTGAACTGTGTCTGGGCCCATTTAGTCCCAGGGTGTCTTTCACTGATCTCTGCTGAATTGGGACTGTCCCATGTGGCCACTTGAGCATCACTTTGGCACTGTTGTAGGTACCATGATCTCAGGCTACCAAGGTGATACAACCTCCTCATCCCTATCAAAGGCATCTTGTATTTTCTTCCAGCACATCCCCTGCCTCTTAGAGATAATTCCCTTGGAATTCTCAGTTGCTTCCTCTGCATCATTCTGAAGTGTACTAGATCCAGTGAAGTTGTCATCAAGCCCAACGACTTAGCTCTCCTCCCTCTGTCTTTGTTACTCAGCCATTCCCACATCGTGATGGACATGATAGTGTTAAATGCAGATATCTCTGAGATTCAGGAAGGCTTTCTTGAACTGCACCTTTGCAACCCTGAATCCTCCAAATTTATCTGAATATTTTAAAACAGCCTGTTAGTTTTCTTATTGTCTCTCCGTGGACTTTAAAATGTCATATTTGAGCAATGACTTCACAGTGACTTCTTGGTTGTAGACAGAATCTTTTACTTCCTTCCTTAGAGCAATAAGCATAGGTCTCATGACTTGGCCTTAAGGATAGAAGACTGCAGAGGAAGCAAAGGAAATATTTGAGAAAGGAAAATTTATTGAAAGCCATTTCAAAAGCATTATTTGCCTCTAAAGTAAAAGGGTTGAAGACAAGAGCATGAATGAGAGTGGAAAGAATGAGAATAAGAAAGAATAAAGGTTGAGGACTGAAGTTGAGGAAGGCTACAAAGCAGGATATGGAGAAGATGAGGAGATAGAGCAGACTCTGAAAAACAATTATTGAGCCAGGAGAATAACTCAGTGCTCACAGCACCCAAGTCCATAGGAGGAGAGAACTTACCAAAGAGGAGATGAGGAGATAGAGCTATTCTTAAAAACAATTATTGAGCCAGGAGAATAACCCAGTGCTCACAGCACCCAAGTCCATAGGAGGAGAGAACTTACCAAAGAGGAGATGAGCAAAAAAGCAAAAAAGTAAGGAGGTCAAGGAGAATGGAGATCCAAAAGGGGGTCCAGGATCTGACAAGTGTACAGTAACTGTTAACATTTGACAGGTCAGAGTTAAGAGTAGAATTTGTATTAGGACCCAGAGAATTTTCAGGAAATACTTCACAGTAGAATATTGCTTTCAATATTATTGGAAGCCATTATACACACACACACGCGTGCGCACGCACACACACACACACACACACATATACTCAATATTTACTTTTGTTATTATCCCTATGTAAATAATACTGGTATATGGCCACCCTACTAAAGTATATTTTGTGTAGGTATGTATGTGTGTGTGTGTGTATGAGTGTGTACATGCATGTGTGGGTAAAACTCATTCTCAATTATTATTTTCTGTACATGTTACATAATTCTCCTTTTAAAACACACCAAAGTTATTGTGATTTCAGCAGATGGTCATCTCAGTTCTTACTATAAAGTTCCAAGGCCAGAAGAATGTTATTGTTCTAATAAGCTACTAAATAAAGCAATCATTTTGTTTTTTCAAGAGTTGCTAAGCTTTAAGTAAGGGAAAAATGTCAATTTAAGAATTGAAATTAAGGCTTATGTTATAAAAACACTGTATTAATTCCACAGAGAACTTATGAGGTAGTAGATTATATACCACCACATGCATCCAAAATTCATTTCATTAGATACTCGAGGAATTGAATTTTATACTTCAAATACTTTATTGGTCACTGTAAAATTCATTAATAATTATACTTTTCAGTTAAATATTTCATCATAAAAATATATTCAATAAGGCAGGCAGATTATACTTTTCCATACATGATAGGTATAAAAATATCTCTGTGGTACTTTTTTTTTTAGTACACCTATTAAAATGGCTCAGATGAAAAAAGTGCCTAACAGCAGAATGATCAACCTGACAAATACTAAACTAAAAAGACTCATGAGTTCTACACAAAGAGACTACAGGCAAGATATTTACGATTTTTGAACCCCAGTTTTTCATTCTATACATTTATCTGAAATCTATAAAGATTTAGAATAATGAGGGGCATAACTCATATGCTAGGCCAAGATATGGTGCATAAATCTTAAGTGGTAAGATGCTACTCTTTTATCATTTATTTAAATGTTTCATGTTTTATAAAAATATAAAACATGAAATATAGTTTAGTAATAGCATGGAGAATCAGCAAAAGTTTCCTAGATTCATTCAGATTCACTTTCTCGCTTTCGACACAATGTAATCATTTCAGCAGGTCATTCTGTTGATATACGTTCTCAGTATACAGAATATCAATGAAATTACTGTGTTAGATTTTACAAAAGTAAAAATCAAATCCATGCAACTCATTATTTTCTCATTTATTTAATGTCTAAATAAAAGCTCATCCTCCTGATTGACAGAATGGCTGGAACTGTCAACCTCATTTATTTAACCAAAATTTATTAAAGCCCACATGAGGCTACACAGTGACAAACAAAACTTAGCTTTAGAACAGAAAGTGTATTTGAGGGTGTAACAGCTTATCAAAGGCTTGGCACATTCTTGAATTATCAGATACAGAGGAAGGCCTTGATACCAAATCAGGCAAACAAAGAAAGCACATAAGATTTGCAGACTGATATCATCTAATTCACTGACCTGTTTACACTTCCAGAAAAGGACTAACATTTCTGGGGTTGAATGAGACTGAAAAGAAAGAATAAAAAGCTTTGTGACCATGGCAGCTGATGAGGGCATGCATTGCTGTTAGTAAACGCCATTGGCTGATATCTTCCATGCAAAGTGATGCATCGGTCCTGCAGAATTACATTTATTGCAGAAACCAGCACATGAGGGCACAGAGTTTGGCTCTTACATTATTACTTTTTAAAAGAAAATAAAATGGAAACAATTTTGCAGACCTCTTATTGACGCTCCCTGAAATTAAATAATTAAACATTAGTGTGTGATAAATAAAAGCGTTTTTTTTTCTTAAGTCCCCAGGGGTCCCAAGGGGTGAAAACAGCCGCATATTTTGTCAGAAAAATGGCTTGCAACTAACATGCTGCTTTCCCCAGAAATAATTGGTATGTGGGGAAAACACAATGAAGCACATATTAATAATGTAAAAGCTAGGCTTTAAAAAGATCAACTTTCAACTGATAGTTAACAATTTCCTTCTACATTATCAGAGAAAAATCTGGGAAGGAATTCAGATGCATCTTTTCAATCCATCAGATAATATTCATGAACTTATTTTGCATATCGATCGGAGCTTTGTCACATTATGGTCTCTAAAAATCAATATTTGTACAAGGTTGTTTTCCCTTCCTTTCAAGCATTATCTTTGATTTATTATTCTCTCCCCAAATAAAAACATTCTATTCCACCAAAGCCTTGCAAATCTCCAGATGGTTCCAGAAATGTTTCTCTGCGGAGCTGTTTTTTTTTTTTCTTGAAATAATTGGTGGTTCAATAACTAGCTTTGTTTGTTTGCTTGCTTGCTTGTTCGTTTTCATAACATGCTTGAGTGATTCTTCATATTAAAACCACTTGAGTTTCCCCTTTCTTCTGAACTTTACTTCCCTTTCCTGCAACTCTTTTTTATTGTGTCTCTGTATGTCCAGCTAAAGTATTACAGGTGTGAGAAGACGGGAGAATGGTCTATTATCCCCCAAGGTGAGAGAAAGGGGAAACTCAGGTGTCTTTGGTATGAAGAATCGCTCAAGCACGTTATGAAAACAAACAAATATGAAAAATCATATAGGAACAATTTCTTTCCATTTATCCCAGGTCACGACTAGCAACATAATTTGCAGGGTCTAGTGCAACATGAAAATGTGGAGCCTTTTTTCATGAATTACTAAGGGCTTTAAGAAGTTAGGCTGGGCACGGTGGCTCACGCCTGTAATCCCAACACTTTGGGAGGCCGAGGCAGGCAGATCACGAGGTCAGGAGATCGAGGCCATCCTGGCTAACACGGTGAAACCTCGTCTCTACTAAAAACACAAAAACAAAATTAGCCGGTCGTGGTGGTGGGCACCTGTAGTCCCAGCTGCTTGGGAGGCTGAGGTGGGAGAATGGCGTGAACTTGGGAGGCGGAGCTTGCAGTGAGCCGAGATCGCGCCAGACTCCATCAAAAAAAAAAAGGTGACACCAGAGCATTAAACCAAAGACAGGACCCTTCTAATGCAGGGCCTGAGTGCTACTGCATAGGATACATAACATATTGTTAATATGTTGGTTAAAAAAATAAAAGCATTACACAACTATAATTTGGGACACAGTGCTGAACAAGTCTTTGATTTTGTTTTTAGTTTGTGTGCTTGTTTTCTATCTTTTTAAATGCAAGTGTTCTCAGGAAATGTCAATAAGCTGCTGCTCATTGTGCCTGCCTTAGCATTCCCCTCCTCCTTTCAAAAGTAGAACCTATGAGGCACAGGCTTTCTTGAGGTGGTTTATTTTATTTTATTTTTTTTCAGACGGAGTCTCGCTCAGTCACCGAGGATGGAGTGCAGTGGCGCGATCTCGACTCACTGCAAGCTCTGCCTCCCAGGTTCACACCATTCTCCTGCCTCAGCCTCCCGAGTAGCTGGGACTACAGGCACCCGCCGAGGTGGTTTATTTTTGCAAGTTACCCCAGGGCAACAAAGAGGCACACTGTGGACAGTGAAATAGGAAAAGAAGAAATTCAAGGATGTTGTGATGGTTAATTTTATGTGTCAACTTGACTGGGCTAAGGGATACCCAGATAGCTGATAAAATATTATTTCTGGGTGTGTCTGTGAAGGTGTTTCCAGGAGGATTAATATTTGAATCAGTAGATTGAATAAAGATGCCTTCACCAATGCAGGTGGGTATCATCCAATCTGTTTAAGGCCTGAATAGACCAAAAAATGTGGAGGAAGAGTGAATTCACTCTCCCTTCTTGACCTGGGATATTCATCTTCTCCTGCCCTCAGACATTGGTCCCCTGATTCTGAGGCCTTCAGACTCAGAGTAGGACTTACACCATTGTCTTCCCTGGTTCTTAAGTCTTCTGGTTTGTACTGGAACTACACCACCAGCTTTCCTGGGCTTCCGACTTGCAGAAGGCAGATTGGGGGACTTCTCAGCCTCCATAATCCCAGAGCCAAATCCTCATAATAAATCTCTATATATCTAGATATATTCTATTGGTTGTGTTTCTTTGGAGAAGCCTGTCTAACACAGGTGTGT